>NC_000012.12:45641946-45793461 GCF_000001405.40 Homo sapiens
TGCTGGGTCAAAGCAAAAATGCATATGTAATATTGATAGATATGGACAATCTCCCTTCACCAGAGCTGTACTCCTGTCAATAAGGTATGGAAGTACCAGTTTCTTCAAAGCCTTGCCAACAGAATCCAACTGTTAAACTCTTAGATTTTTGCCAGTCTGAGAGGTGAGAGATGGTATTTTAATGTAGTTTTAATTTTCATCTCTCTAATGATAAACAAGATTGAGCATCTTTTTGTATCACAAGTGGCATTTGTGTTTCTTTTCCTGTGAATTGTGTGCATATTTCTTGTCCAGTTTCATAAGGTTGTTTGTCTTGCTTCTTAATTTGTAGAAGTTCTTTAGATATTAGGGATAGATATTAATCCTTTTTCTGTGAGAGAAATTGCAAATATTTCTCCAGGTGTCATTTGCATTTTTTGTTTGTTAGTTTCTCAAGACAGGGTCTTGCTCTGTCACCTAGGCTGGAGTACAGTGGAGTCATCATAGCTCACTGCAGCCTTGACATCCTGGGCTCAAGAGATCCTTCTGCCTCAGCCTCACAACCAGCTGGAACCACAGGCATGTGCCACTACACCCGGCTATTTTTTTATTTTATTTATTTTTTGTAGAGACGGGGTCTCCCTATGTTACCTAGGCTGATCTCTAACTCCTAGGCTCAAAGGATCCACCTGCCTTGGCCTCCCAAAGTGCTGGGATTACAGGTGTGAACCATTGCACTCAGCATCATTTGTATTTTTACTTTGCTTTTAGGGGTTTTTGCCATGCAGAATTTTAAAAAATTAAACCAAAGTTATCAAACTTTTCTCTTAGTTTTTGGAAATTTTCACTCACATATGGTAAAGGAATTCACCCATGTTTTCTTCTAGTATTTGTACAGTTTTGTTTCTAACCCATTCAGGATTTATACTGGTATATACTACACAGAATAAATCCATTTTTATCGTTTTCATACGCCTATCCATTTGTGCCAACACTGCTTATTTAAAAGTCCATTTTTCCCCACTGATTTCAGATGCTGCTTTTATCATGGTCTGAATTTCCATGTGCAGTTAGGTTTATTTCTGGATATTCTATTTGGTTCCATCAGTTGTCTGTTCATTCACTTGCCAATACAATTTTCTTCTAATTATAGAGACTTTGTAATGTTTTAACATCTGGTTTAAGATCAAGCCTCCCTCTCATTGTTTTCCTTTTTTAGAGTTTTCCAGGCTATTTCTGTTTAGTTGCTTTTCCAAATGAAACATATAATCAATTTGTTTAGCTTCAAGAAAAAAAACTGATAATATTTATCACAATAGATATCTTTTTTTTTTTTTTTTTTTGTGAGACTGAGTCTCGCTCTACCGCCCAGGCTGGAGTGCAGTGGTGCGATCTCGGCTCACTGCAAGCTCCGCCTCTCGGGTTCACGCCATTGTCCTGCCTCAGACTCCGGAGTAGCTGGGACTACAGGCGCCCGCCACCACACCCAGCTAATTTTTTTTTTGTATTTTTAGTAGAGACGGGGCTTCACCGTGTTAGCCAGGATGGTCTCGATCTCCTGACCTCGTGATCCACCCGCCTCGGCCTCCCAAAGTGCTGGGATTACAGGTGTGAGCCATCGCGCCCGGCCTAGATATCTTTATAATATTGAGTCTTCCTATCTAAACTTACGGCCTACTATCTGTTCATATCTATTTTTGTGTCTTTCAGGAGTGTTTTATTCATATATGTTTTGGTCATTTCTTATTATTTATGCCTAGGTACTTTTGTTGGTTTTGCTGCAATTATAAAAGGAGTCTTTAAATCTTCCAACCAGTTGCTATTTTTATATACGGAAGCTATTGCTGGCTGGGCATGGTGGCTCACACCTGTAATCCCAGAACTCTGGGAGGCCAAGGCAGGATCGCTTGAGGCCAGGAATTTAAGACCAGCCTGGGCAAGACTCCATCTCTATTTTTTTTTAAAGCTATGGCTTTCTATATATTGATTTTATAACCTGCACTTTACTAAATTCTGTTAAGTGTTTTGGCAGTTTTTCCAATGATTTTTTTTTTTTTAGTTTTCCTGATATATAATATAATCTGTAAACAGAAATAATTGTATCTATTTTTCTCTAATTCATATGCCTCTGTCTACTGGCACTGGATGATAATTTCAAACTGGTTTTAAATAGTAATGATGACATTGTCCATCCTTGTCTTATTCCTGAATTTGGCAGGTATTTCTCGATTAAGTAAGATGCTGACTTTAGGGATGAGATACATAAAATTTTCAGATGCATTTTTAGTTCCCAATAAATCTGTCACTCCCCCCATTGAGGCTGAGATGGTACTTCAGGATAAAGCAGAAAGCACCAAGAATAGTTGCTTTTCGAATGTTAATGTACATACAAATCACCAAGTGATCTTGTTTAAATGCATATTCTGATTCAGCAGGTATGGGATTGGGGCTGAGATTCTGTAGTTTTAACAAGCTTCCAGGATATGCTGGGATGCTGCTGCCCACAGTGGACCACATTCTGAGTAGTGATGATCTAAAACAAAGAAATTTTTTTCTAGCTTTGATTTTCCAAAATAAACTTTACAATAGTTCAAAGTGGAAAAAATAGTCATAAAAATTCTGGTTTCCAATTTTAAAAGCCAAACACATTTAACTCTCTATAGACCAATCCTGGAGGACTAAACAGAGTTTCTTCATAAGCCACAGAGTGGGAAAATGCAGGATATGACAAAAGGGTGGCTTCCTGCCACATAGGAAGAGGAAGAAAGTTCTTTCTGCAGCTGTGGGGAGGAGTCTAAGGAGATCGAGTTGAGACATGTAGTTCTTGCAGCCCCAGTTAGAAATCATGCTGGGGCTGGTGGCAGGGGAGAGGAAAGCCCAGATGGTTCAAGGGAGAATATGAGACAAGGAGGTAATGCAGGAGCAGCTGCAGCTAATGAACACAATGAGGGCCTCACAGGTGCAAAGGCCAAGAACAAAGCCCCCAAAAGAGACCCTTCAGCAGAGCCAAGCCAGGTTCAAAGGACTCAGACAAACTCCTTTTTCAGTGTCAGAATAAGAATTTATTGTTGGTGTTGTGTCTGGGTTTCGTAGATGAAAAAATACTAAATGAATCTGAGGCAGAGCCACCCATCCATTCCTTCTGCAAACTGAGTACCCATTATGTCAGGCGCTAGGGAGAAAGTGAATAAGATAGACAGAGCTCCTGCCCTCATGGAGCTTAATGTCAATAACATGTAACATCTATCAGCAATGGTAGTTTACACAGGGATATACATCTGAAAATCTATATAAACATGCCCATACCTGCCCCTGGAGATCTGATTTGATGGGTCTGGGAAGAACCCAGGTAATTCAGATGCTTAATTCTAGTTAAAAATCACTATTTTTCAATATTTATACATCACTAGAGTACTTAATTTCCCAACTAAACATTTGCAACTACAAATTTAAAGTTGCATGCAGTAAAATAATATTTTACAATCTTTTTGAATTCTAAAAAATATTTCTAGAATATATGAAAATAGTTGGTTTTTAGGACACAAATTAGTCACACTGTATTTGGGATATGTTCTAATTCATAAGACAAAGCTTCACAATTTTTAAAATTATAACTTTTTAACATATACAAATTAAGATCCAAATATAGGATTTTTTAAAAATTAGCACTGTTCCCTATAATAATTTAAGCCGATTAGTATTTGCATATTTAGTAATGCTGTGAAAAGGAAGTTTCGGGGTTGAAATAGTACTTCTGTGAAAAAAAAATTTTGTGTATATATTTTTATATTTAGGATGTGAATGCATGTGTGTGTATAAAACATTGCCCTATATTTACAAATTCTAAATCCTGATATATATTGATGTTTAGAAAATAAAACCATTTATAATGTTTTCCTTTATATAAAAAATACACATTTTCCACTAAGATATCACTTTAATCCAGACTTCCTCCTGGAATCTTCTCCAGGCTCCACCTTCCCTCCCACCCCCACAGGCATTTGGTTCCAGCTCTATCATGTAGCTCTATTGTGTTGCTGAGAATAAATGAACAACTCTGAAAGGGAAACTTGATCACTGAGACCAAAGTGAAGTCTGATATTTTCAAGATTCTTGCTCAAATGTACTCACCCCGTTAGTTACCATATCCTATTATAGTTCTTGCCACATTGCACTGTGACTTATCAGTTCAAGAGTCTATGTTAACCAGACTGTGAGAAGTTCTTGTTCTACTTTACTTAGAAATCTGACACATAGAACAAATCAAGAAATGCTTAATGAATAAATGAATGATTAAATTGCACTTCCCATCCTCTTTAAGAGCTGTAATTTAACCGCAGCATTTAGACAGACTCCAGATTTTGTGTCCTTACAGTTTGGTTTTATAACCAAACTCAGTTCTGTAGGGCTTAGGTCTCTAAACTCCCTTGTGAGCTGCTTTTTTATCCCAGAGGCATAGGACTTACTGGTATAAACAATAAGAGGATGGCAGTGGGAAGAGGCCTCTGCATGCCTGGATCTGCTCTCAGGAGAAACTAACCAAACCAAAATCTGAAGAAAGCCAGTTAGTGTACCTGTGCTATCAGAAAAACAAAATGAGATGGATAATCTTAAAGTGTATTTGCATCAAACGCCTTTACAATAGTTCTGCATTTATCCATTAAGCAAACCCAGTATTCCTTTCTCCTTGTCAGGCCTCCTGGCTTTTCTTCAGTTATCTTCTTATAATCTAGAGGTTAACAACCTTTCTGAGATATCTTCAATTGCTCTTTATCCGATTGCATGAGGAAGGAACAGTGGGATTGTTAAAGAAAGTCAAGACCTACGTGCTGGAGAGATGGAAGAGTCCCCATTATGCTTGCCCAGGTTTTGTCTAAAGCAAATCTTTTCTGCAGCTGTAAGTAGATATCCAACTGGTCAGACTCCTTTAACTTAAAATCCTAGAAACAATTGGAGTACTTAAAGAGATTCCAAAAGATGAGATAGAGGAGAAAATATGGCGAAAGAAGACTAAGCAATCTAGAGGTGTAGGCGGGCAAGGATCAAATACAGAAAGATAAACTAAGGCATGGAAGCACAAGTAGGTCTTCAAGTCCTCTCAACTCTGAATGAAAGTCTAGAAATGCAGAGTCAGCAACAACAATACCTGAGAATAAAGTTAAATTCTATACCTAACTCATGGGCTTGATTCTGCTAGGAGTCGGTATCCTTAGATCCTCAAGTGTTATCATAGCTAGAAAGAGGCTAAGTGACTGCAGGTGAGCCCTTATCCAATTCCTGTGCTGCATTCCCAAGATGACCTCCCCAAACATAAGCAAGTTAAGTGAGATAGCAGGGCTTCTGGGGGTCATGGGTACAGAGGAGACCATTAAAGCTCTGAAAGTGTATAATAGATGACTGTACATACAAGGTATACCACACAAAACATCTCATTTATAGCACTGTCAGCATTTGGTAGTGATTACATTGTTTGTGACATATTTGACATGCAAAATCTCTATAGTAAAGAAATATCCCCTAGAGCCATATCTGTATCCATTTTGCATTTTCATATTGACCAATGCACTAGAAGAAAACTGTCAGAAAATAACTTTATGGAATATCCTCCCATGGCTAGGGCCTTGGGGAAAGTTTTAGAGATGAATTTTTTCGACAAATACTTCTGAGATACAAGAGTAGAACAATAGCAGGTGGTACAAAAAGAATGTAGAAAGTGTTGGAAAAGGAAGGGAAACACTCGATAAGGTAACTTCACTGAGCTGTAGAATGAGAATGGGATTTGGAGTTGAAGACTTGGGAATGAATCCCAGTTCTGCCACTTGCTAGAAGTGCCTCTATTTATCCATTTGGAGAATAATAGAAATAAGTATACTATGTCATGAAGTTTTGTGAGAATCAAATAAGAAACTGTATGAAAAAAAAACGTAGTTAACATGACAGGCACTCAAAAATTTTAGTTTCTTCCCTGGCGTTGCAACTTTTAGATCGTCAACCTCTTTGAGCTTTAGTTTTCTCATCTCAAAAATGAGAGTACTCTCTGGGTTGTACTAAGAACTAAAGAGAAATGTATCAAGGCACTCTGCAAACTGCAAAGCATTACTCAAGTGGTAGTTATTGATTTGTATGAAACATTTGGCATTTTTGGTTTCTCAGCACATAAACACCTCTTCTATTGGGGGGAAATCCCAAGATAAGTGGGGAGCAGCTCACTGTGACAGCCAAGGAAAGGTAAATATTCCATGAGTTCTGGCAGGTGGAGCAGACCCAGGCAGAGGCTACTGCTTGGACTTTGAAACTTAATGGAGTAACCGAAAGCACAAGGTCAAAGATTCATCACAGCAGCTGCTGTGGTTGGACTGCAGCCTGTTGATGGCACAGGTGCAGGGTGGTGCTGCCAGCAGCAGCAGTGCCAGTGCCCGCGACTGTCCAGTGGCAACTGTGCCAGTGGCAGGATCCTAAACAGAATCAGCCTGTGGTGGGATCTTGGCTGTGCCTCATCTTGCTTGGAAACTGCTCAAGTTCCTGGCTCTCCAACCTTCCCCTGGATCCTTTTTGCATGTAGATATAGAGAGGCAGCTATATTTTTGTAATTAAAAAACCATTATTGATACACATACCATCACAATCCCTAAGCTCAAGGAGTATACCTTCAAATTGCCAATGATAAAATGATTTATACATATGTAGTTATTTAATATGTTGTCCAAAACCCAAAATAACCAGATCCTTTTAGTATCAGATAAAAAAAAATCAGCCAATGCTCAAAGTAAATCTTTGTGTTGAAGCATTATACAGTTAGATGCTCATTTTTCTGTAAATCCTACACTGAATAGCTGAAAAAACTTTACAGCTGCAAAAACTTCAAAGTCAAGAGATTTTGTTTTGTCCTTTTCACTAAATGAACCCTAGCAAAAAAAAAAAAAAAAAAAAAAAAAAAAAGCCAATTCATCCCAGACACTAGAACCCATAGGGAAAACACATAAGATTAATTTCTTCTACAAATTATTTTATTAACATCTCTAGAGTTAGTGTTTTCTTGGCCCTTTTTAAAAAAATTTTCAAATTTTGAAATTTTGAAAAATTTTTAAAATTTTTTCATTACTAGTCCCTAGGGAGAAAAATTTAATTTAATTTAAATTCTCTATAACAAAAGATTAAATACTAAGGAATCCAATTTTGTTAGGTGAGGTTGAGGTACGGGAGACCACCATGGTAATATCTTGGGTTTCTTGCCCCCTAAAAACCTGTATTTGCTTTCCAATGGTCAGGATAGGAGACTCTGTAGCTTCCACTGAGAATGCGTGCTTTAGAATTATGGTCTTAGACAACAGACTAAGCTTCAAACAATGACTTGGTAAGTGTTATCAATGCTTCCTATTCCATTTCTAAATAAATATGTATTATGGGCCTTAATGAATTGAATTTACTGTAGCTAAAAAATTTTGTCAGGATTAGTCATGTCCAAATGACTACCTACAGTTCAAACTGCCTCTAAATTACACTTTGGTAATATTCTGATTTGAATGAAAAAAAAAAACAAGATTATCTTTGTTAAACTGAGATTGAGTTAAAGTTTAAATTTACCCAACATTATTCCAGTAGAGACAGAAAACACAGTGCTATGTAGTATAAAAAGGGGAGAGAGATTAAGACTGTACCCAATAACCATCCCAGTTCATTCTGACCAATGGAGATGGGGAGACCTTCTTTTTAAACTCTTCCCAACCTACTTAATCCATGGACTTGGCTTGAACTATGATCAAATTGCTAATCACTCCAAATCTCTATCACTAGCTCACATCTCTTTCCTGACCTCTAGATCCATTTCTCCAACCTCCAATAAATATCTATACTTTGATTCCCTCCAACCATTTTCAACTCCAGGTGTCCCAGATTGAATTCGCTCTTTTATTTTTGCTTTATATGACCTATTTCAATGAATAACAGTTTCCTAAGCCATAAACCTGGAAGTCATTCTAGCATTTTCTTCCTCCTTATTTTCCTTATCCAACCAAACTCTAGGTCCTACCAATTTTACCTGCCTACATCTCTACAACCCTTGGTCCAAGTCATCTCTCTCTACGAGAATACCACAGCCTCCTCAGAGATCTCTGCCTCCAGTGTTACTCCCTCCGGACTCCTCCTTCACACTTCACACTGAATGTTCTTTCTTAGTATAATGAAAATGGAAACCATACCCCAATTAAAACTTTTCAATGTTCACTGCCATCTACATCCTTTTCCTTGGCCTCATGTTTCCGTTAGGAGATTCCTGCCACAGTTTCACACATGTTCTCTTTCAACTTGCCCATCACCTCCAACTCACACCTTCCTGTGGAAGCATGAATGATTTTCCTGGCGAATTTTGGGGAATATACTGCATATAACTGACTTAACTCTTCGGAGCCAGCCAATCGGCAAAAAATATCCCATTCTTTGCTCATCTGTAGGGTAAAATTTTTCAGGGGCAGTCTCTGCTCCTTTAAGGAAGGGGTGCTGCAGTTTAGGAGGTAAATGTAATTTAGGAACAAGTATTGAGAAGCCTAGTGTGACTGTACATCTAAGCGACATCATCCAATCCAGCTTTTGCCTGTAATAAGGCTCATTTTTTCCAGAATACCCCAAATTCTCACACATCCTTCCTTTCCACATGCCGTTCCCTGTGCTGCTTTTGCATTTGGAAAACTCTTCTCATACTTCCCACCTCAGCTAACATGCTATCCCTAGACAGGCTGCAGGACTCTTACTTTTCTTCTACTGAAAGTTATCTGTATATTCATATAGAAATGATCATATCACATTGTAACTTATTTGCATATTTGGCTGTAGCCTATAAATTCCTCCAGAAAAGGAAACATACCTCAATTTATTCTTGAGTTCCTAGAACTCAGTGCTGAATGACATAGTAGGTCAACAGTAAATACTTATTCATTGAACAGGTAAATAAATAAGCTTCCCATATACTCTCATTCCCAAAAAAGGAGTTTGTATAAAAAATCATATAACTACATGAGTACTAAAACTGGACTAACAAGAAGTGCCATAGTTCTTTTTATAATGTATGCCAACTTTAGTGAAAGGAGAATTATATTCTTTAGATGTGTCTTAACTGGATAGCAGTCTAGAAATAAAATCAGCTCTATTTATAACCCATATTCTATAACTCCCCAAGTAAGAAATTACATATCTAATACCTAAAAAAAGAAAGCTATTTTTCTAGATAAAATCAGTCTTACTGAAAATTTTACACAACTGATTTTCAAGCTTGCATTACTTGCGGCTTCTGGATTGTAAAATGCTGATCACATCATTTTATAACATTCAGCCACAGACAACTGTGTTTTGGACAGAGCACATTGTCACTGTAATTCCTTAATATAATATTATGAAATGAGAGCATAAGTATTTATTGATATCAAATTTTAACCCTCTGAGGATCATTCCAAAACAAGACTTTAGTTGTTTTAGAACAAAGAAGTATTAAAACATATTTATACATCATCTTGCAAGCTTATTGAAGATGAGCTTCAAAATACAACAGAAATATAATTAAGTAAAGCAATCAGGAGGAAAGGAAATGAACAGCCTCAGTGAGATTAGGATATAAAATATAAGCCCTAGGTTCTATGCTCTTTCTGAGGTTGCACATAAATTTGGCCTCAAATGCAGTTTGGCAAATTCCTATCAATTTGCAAGGGTTATATAAACATCAACACACTGACGTCTTTTATTTTATTTATTAATTTTTTTGAGACAGGAACTTGCTCTCCTGCTCTGTCATCCAGGTTGGAGTGCAGTGGTGCAAACACAGTTCTGGGCTCAAGCAATCCTCCTGCCTCAGCCTCCCAAGTAGCTGGGCTAATTTTTAAAAAGGTTTTTTGTCAAGACAAGGTCTCACTATGTTGCCCAGGCTGGTCTCAACCTCCTAAGCTCAAGCAATCCTCTTGTCTCAGTCCCAGAAAGTGCTGGGATTACGGGTGTGAGCCACTGCACCCAGCCACACTGAAGTCCTTATTAAACTCATAGTTTAATAATATCTTAGCTCATAGCTTATTCACAGCAATGGCATGGGGTGTAAATAAAAGGTCAGTAAGTCACAAATAATCACATATAATCCTAACATTTTCTTCTCACAAAATGTTGAAAATCTAGTTCTAGTCTGTAGTGAAATAGGCAAGTCTGAAGCTGACCTATACTTCCAAGTACAATTTTCATCTGAGAGGCTTAGACTTAGAACTTAGCAAGGAAGTTAATATGTATTTTGGATGGAATGTCTAGAAACCAACAGGTCAATAATTTTAGAGGAGGAGGAGAAGAAAGTTTCTCTCTTCTAAATGCAGAAAGGTCACAGTCTAATATCAACTAATGGAAGGAAACATATTCATAACTTTAGTAAGAGTAAATTTACATTGAGCTTATTTTTAAATTTTATTTTATTTTATTGATGTGTTTATTTATTTAGAGAGGGATTTTGCTATGTTGCCGAAGCTGTTCTTGAACTCCTGGGCTCAAGCGATCCTCCTACCTCAGCCTCTCAAGTAGTTGGGACTACCGGCACACACAACCATGCCTAGCAAGTCTATTTTTTAAAAGCAATTATACTATCTAGTTTTGTAATATTAACATTCCAGTTAAAACTTGACATGGGATCTACAAACTTTAGGGACATTAACCTTGGTTTGTAAACTTAAAAAAGTAAAGCACCCAGGTTGGGCGCTGTGGCTCACGCCTGTAATTTCAGCACTCTGGGAGGCCGAGGTCAGGAGTTTGAGACCAGCCTGGCCAACATGATGAAACCCCGTCTCTACTAAAAATACAAAACTTAGCACTACTTGAGAGGCTGAGGCAGGAGAATCGCTTGAACCTGGGAGGTGGAAGTTGCAGTGAGCTGAGAAAAAAAGAAAAGAGGAGAGGAGAGGAGAGAATAGGAGACGAAAGGGGAGGGAAGTGGAGGGGAGGGGAGAAAAGTGAAGCACTCAGAGGATGAATGAAATCTATACTTCCATAATTTTATTTATCAAATTCATACCTTGTATTACTGTGCCCCTGAATCTACATTAATTATTGGACAGTTAACCTAAATTCAGGTCCTTTTATATTTATTATACCTGAAAATTTTTTTCCCACATAGTAAGAAATTTATTGTATGATAAAAGCGTAGTTGGCCTCTTCTAATTTTCCTTCCTATGTTACCTTACCACGCTGGCCAGAGTTTTTATTTGCTGGCTGAGCATTCTTGCCAAACCAGGCAATAGAAAGGAGAATGCCACATTTGCAGGGCTACTGTGCAGTTTAAACCAGTTTTAAATCATTAGTCACCCAATAATAGAAGATGACAGAAGAAATTTCTCCCTCAAAGCACATGAGAAGGATTTTCTAAGGTTTTAAAAGTTTTCAGAAAGTAAAATGTCACCCATAGTTTTCAGTTCTTTGTTTCACGCTACTCTTCATCTTCTAACATCCCAGGTCTAATTATGAGTACAGATAGACTCTGCGGTGAAAACAATGAGGTGGAAATAATCGCTTTTCATGCAATCTAAAAGAGTCATGGTAATTAAGATACAGGAACAAAAACGAACCTAATCTATGATGCTAGTTTCTAAAAAAAAACATGAATAAACGTCCCCAAATTGATCCCATGTTCTCCCTTTCAGCTCCAACATATTCATTTCCTGGATAGATACGGGGAGAAATATTCTGTGTAGAAAAATGTATCTGTCTTTTTCAAATGCTTTCAGAAAGTGCTCTCCCACCCCCCAACAATTCCAGAGTAGGAAGAGTCCATTGACCATACCTCCAGTTGTGGTACTGAGGGCCCCAGAAGCAACTCAACCCTTTGTAAACTATGTAGAATAAGTAAAAATTGAAACAACATAAAAGAGTGCCACAGGCCCAATCAGACACTGTACCTTTTAACAGAGAATGTGTAAGTGTGAAGGCAAATCACAGTCATCTTGCCAGGAAAAGAAGTCACAACCAAAGAAATTCCTGACGGAGAATTCCCTGTATGGGAGGCTTGTTCGTGCTCTCCTGAGGTTGACAAGAAAAAGACTTCTAATCTACTCTTACCTTTGACCAAAGGGTTTTCTATGATAGACAAAGATAACTGTTGCAAATGCACAGGGAAAATGGAAAAATGAATATCATGGCATCTAGGTCTCTATTAGGCCTATGCTATTAAAAACCAACAGAAAATCCAATGCATAAGAGATCTCCTCTTCAGGACAGCAGCAGGCCATGTCCCAGGAGAACCTACTGTAAAGGAGCTCACTCCAGTGTGACGTCATGTGAAGGAGCCCACTGGGTCCAAGAGGATTCATCAGTTGTGCCAGTGGCTTCCAGTGCTGGCATTTGCTGGCTTAGAATCTCACGGCTGTCTTCCTCTGCTGGCCTTGCTTCTGACTTCAAAGTCATTCTACTTGAAAGAGATTCTGCCATTTTGCTCAGGCTCATATTTGGAATGTTAAAAGGTTGACCATTGTTGGGGAAAATGGTCCAGATGCCAAAATCAAAACTGAGTGCATAAATTATTGGGACAGATGGGTGGCCATCTGGAAAAAATACAGTTGGATTAAAACCTCACACATTTAACACGAAGCCAAACCCAATATGGTAAAACTTCTAATGTAGAAGAGTAGAACTGTAAAAGGAATAGAAAAACACAGGATAATTTTCTGTAATTCCAGGGTAGGGATGGTCTTTATGAAATAAAATCTGGATTATTTTAAAAAAGGTAAATTTAAGCATAAAGAAAAACAGCTGCATGAGAAAACATACAAAATGCAGATTAAAAAAGTAAAACAGGCCGGGTGCGGTGGCTCACGCCTGTAATCCCAGCACTTTGGGAGGCCAAGGCAGGCGGATCATGAGATCGGGAGATTGAGACCATCCTGGCCAACATGGTGAAATCCCATCTCTACTAAAAATACAAAAATTAGCCCTGCGTGGTGGCACGCGCCTGTAATCCCAGCTACTCAGGAGGCTGAGGCAGGAGAATCGCTTGAACCCGGGAGGCAGAGGTTGCAGTGAGCCAAGATCATGCCACTGCACTCCAGCCTAGTGACAGAGCACGACTCCATCTCAAAAAAAAAAAAAAAAGTAAAACCAAAAAAAATTTGTAGTCCATGTCAGAATAATTGTCTATATGTTATGATATATAATATATAGTGTCATATTTATATAAAAGTACATAATTTAGAGCTATGCATTTATAACACTATATATACATTTATCTTTATACACACACACACACACACACACACACCTCAAACTTGCAAACCAACTAGTCTGTATAAGTTACTTACAGTTAGTGAATTAATCAGCCAGATAAGTTTTTCTTGCGTATAGTCAGAGAAATGGTCTATATTCTCCAATGCATGTATATTGTATTAATTAACGTGGTTCATGCTGTTGTGAAGCTGCAGCTGTTGAGACTGTGTAGAGCTGAGCGCTGTCCAGAAGGAGGAGCACAGGTTGCCCTGAAGCTGATGCTCTTGTCTGCACTGTTGCCATGGAGCCCGTGCATATACGCTTACTACCAGTGTGGAGCAATCATTTCCTATTCCATTCAGTACCTTTTTATATCTTGTGATTTTGATTGATGTGAATGTATTATGTATTATCTATTCAAAAGATTAAATAGATTTTAAAGATTAATTTTTTAAAATTAGTGTGAAAGTTCTGGCTCAAGATGAGTGAATGAGCATACATTTTCCAACTCTCTCATGACCTGATTCAATTTCAGGAATAATGTGAAATGGAATAAATCCATGGAATAAAGCGTGCCTTCAGCAGGTAAGAAATTATGTTTTTCTAGAAGTTGGAATGCAAATGGGCTCAAATGGTCAGAGAAAACAAAGAGAAGAAATCATGATTCCAAATGCTCATAGAATAAAACTACAGAGGAGGTAGGAGACATTCTTCCAGAGTAGGCTTCTAGAGAATCCAAGTTCACAGTCAGCAGGTACAAAGATCAAGATGTTTGGGCTGAACGGCAAAAATTTTGAGGAACCACTAAGCTCCTCAACTTCCTCTCATATGAGCAGAGAGCAGCCAGTTGAGCATTTTCATTTCTACTGGGTATGGCTGTTGGGACTGGAGAAAAAGTAGAAAAGAGCCTAAAGTGGACCGCCAAAACAAAAATCAAGAGAACATAGCATGTGTGCTGAATCTAGAGGCTCTAGAACACTGATTGACTGAGCTAGAATCAGCTCATCCCCAAGAGTCAAGCCCTCCTTGCTGATTGGCAATTGCCTCCCTGTCTATGAACTATAAGAGATGCCTGCATCCACTGGAACTACCCTCTTGCCCAAAGAACTCTGCTTGTCAGGGAAGAAGGTTGTTGGGTAATCAGATCTATACAACTGTAAAGCAAGCTCAGCTGCCCACCTATACTAATTAACATGGTCCTTTTGAGGAAAACTAATAACAAAAAGAAAAAGATCAATATCAATATCAATAAGCAACAAACAATTAATTCAGAAGAAAGAGATGATGCAAGGAATAGAAAAAAAACCTTTGTAAATTAAAGATAGTATTCTCAAGGAGATTTAGGAAGATATTGCAAGATTAGAACAAAAATAGGCTGCTATTAAAAGATCAATAAGAAAATAAGTGGCACAGTCAGTCACATCTGTAATCTCAGCACTTTGGAAGGCCAAGGCAAGAGGATTGCTTGAGTCCAGGAGCTTGAGACCAGTCTGGGCAACATAGCAAGAACCCCATCTCTACAAAAAATTTGAAAATTAGCCAGGTGTGGTAAAACTTACCTGTCGTCCCAGCTACTCAGGAGGTTAAGGTGGAAGGATCGCTTGAGCCCAGAGGTTTAGGTTGCAGTAGCCGTGATTGTGCCACTGCACTCCAACCTGGGTGATGCAGTGAGACCCTGTCTTAAAAAAAAAAAAAGAAAAGAAGAGGCCTCAAAATATGATTGTTAAAAGAAAAAAATAGAACAGCTAAATTATAGAATTAACAGAATGAGCCAGTATGGTGGCAAGCACCTATAGTCCCAGCTAGTCAGGAGGTTGAGGTGGGAGGATTGCCTGAGCTCAGGAGTTTGAGGTTGCAGTGAGCTGTGATCACACCCCTGCACTCCAGCTCCAGCCTGGGTGATAGAGTGAGACTCTGTCTCAAAACAAACAAAAAGAACATAATAAACAAGGTTAAAGCTCAAATTAGTGATCTTGTAAATAAAGTTGTAACCAGATGAAATGACTTGCACCTGTAATCCCAGCTACTTGGGAGGCTGAGGCAGGAGGATCACATGAGAATTCCTGTCCTCAAGTCATCCTCTGGCCTCAGCCTGTGCGATATGCTGACAGCCCATCTCTCTAAAAAAAAAAAAAAAAAAAGAATAAAGAAAGAAAACAAAGTTATGAAAATGTTAGATATTACTATAAAAGAAAGCACAAATAATATAATGGAGACTGTACATATATTAATAGAATAAAATGTCCCTGGGAGAAAAGCTAGAATCCTCAAAATGAAAGAGTTCTCTGAGCATTAATGAATATAAAAGGAAAACACTACACCTAGACATATCCTGGTGAAATTTTAGAACTTTGAGTATAAAGAGAAAATGCTGCTTGGGTATGGTGCCTCACGCCTGAATCCCAGCATTTTGTGAGGCCAAGGCAGGAGGATTGCTTGAGCTCAGGAGCTTGAGACCAGCCTGAGCAACATAGTAAGACCTCATATCTACTAAAAACAAAAATTAAAAAATTAGCTGGGCATGGTGGTGCATTCCTGTAGTCCCAGCTATTCAGGAGGCTGAGGTGGGAGGATCGCTTGAGAGATGGCAGCTGTAGTGGGCTATGATCACGCCACTGCACTCCAGCCTGGGTGACAGAGCGAGACCCTGTCGCCTAAAAATAAAATAAAGTAAAAAAGAGAAAATGCTAAAATATCTCAGAATGGTTAAAACATTTAAAAGCAGACTACCCACAAAGGAAATAGAATTAAGCATCTGAAGAGCAACACATGAGTTTCCACAAAACTTAAGAGAAAATGATTTCAAATCTAGAATCTTATACTCAGATTAACTATTAGTTAAAGGTGAGGGAAAATCATGGCATTTTCAGGTTTATAGTAATGGCTAATATTTAATGAACTCTTACTATGAGCCAGTTGTATCTCCATGCTCGTTGCAATTATTAACTTATTTATTTTATACTCAGAACAGCCCAGCTAGTTCGGTACTATTATTATCACTGGTTTTACAAATGAAAAACCAGAAGTATAGAGAAGTTGAGAAACCTGCCAAAGATCATGCCACTCGTAGAAGGCAGAGTTGGGTTTTGAATCCAGGAAGTTTGGCTGCAGACTCTACACTCTTAACTACTACACAACAGTGCCACTCTGTTGGTCAGGCACTCAGAAAATTTATGTCCCATGTAGCCTCTTTGAAAAAAAAAATGCTTGAGGATATACTACAATAAAATGAAAAAGGAAGTCAAGAAAGAGGGAAGCGTCAGATCCTAGAAAGAGTGGCACTAACCTGGGGGTCAGGCCATTTCAGGACAACAGCATGTCTATGAAATTAAAACAGAAAATCAGAACATTCCATGAAAAAATGTCATCAAAAGAGAAAGATTCTATTGTTCGAATTGTATGATTAAAACCCTGAAGTTCTTAATAGTAAAATGATGGCGTGTATTTCCCCTGGAAACAAGAAAAAAGAAAAGCAATTGAGAACTCAATGATGAGCCATTTTTTGGAGTGAAAGAAAAGAGAATATTCAGAACATTCTCATTCTAAAGGGGTAGATTTATTCCATGAACATTTCTGTCTTTATGAGTCCAATCATACCATTTGTTTCTTCAATGTGTAATATTTACTTACTCAATATTGTAAATGCAATTTACTGCTTTTCCATTTGTAGTTAATTATAGGAAAAGCATGGAAAACTTAATTACACTTTCTGTAGACTAGAAAGAAAATAATAAAAGCCTTATAATATACAAGTACTGTCACAGTTAATAGAAGACAAAAGGAAGAAAGAAGAGGAGAGGTGTATGCAGGGGAAATCAAGGTGTACTTATTTCTCCATTTTATAGAGCAATGAGTTAGCAAATAGAAATACAGAATATCACAAATGTATAAAGGTAAACATTAAAATAGGTAAACACATACCTGTGAAAGCTGTCAGAATCAAAATGGAGTCACTAATGTTAAGAAAACTTTGACTAATAGAGCCCAGGAAGGCCATAAAGAAAGGGCTCTCACATTTGTATGCCTGCCTGATGGCAAAAAAAGATGCTACAAAAACCACAATTTCAGACAAAGGCCATTGCAACCTTATACACAAAAAAAACTTATGCCAGGACATCTGCCCAGCAGCTGCCTATCTAAACTCGGACTGGCAACACCCTTATTATTGATCTTTGTAGCCAAGGATAATTATTTCAAAACAATTATGTAATCTTCTTCACTTTTTCCTTTAAAAACCTTTGTCAGGCTGGGCGCGGTGGCTCACTCCTGTAATCCCAGCATTTTGAGAGGCCGAGGTGGGTGGATCACGAGTTCAGGAGTTCAAGACCAGCCTGGCCAACATGGTGAAACCCCGTCTCTACTAAAAATACAAAAAATTAGCCGGGTGTTGTGGCGGGTGCCTGTAATCTCAGCTACTCAGGAGACTGAGGGAGAGAATTGCTTCAACCAGGGAGGCAGAGGTTGCAGTGAGCCGAGATCGCACCACTGCACTCCAATCTGGGCAAGAGAACGTCTCAAAAAAAAAAAAAAAAAACAAACAAACAAAAAAACCTTTGTCATCCTTTGCCTTCCTAAATACAAACACAGTTTACTGTGGCACATGTATTCCATTGTAATGCCCTATTCCCAAATAAATATCTTTTTATTTTAGAGAGACTCTGTTATTTAGGTTGACATACCTAAGTAAAGCATAGAGGTGAAGAAAGAAAAAGGAGGTGGGATGAATATAAGTCCACTAAATTCTTGACCTTTCATAGTATAAAGCTGATACAAACTAAATTTTATAAAACAACAGACATAAAAGTAGAATTTATAATGGTACCTACTAGACTGAAATCAGAATGGTGAAAAGGATGAACTTTGCTTTGCTGTTGATGTTTGTTTTTACCATAAGCATGTTTTACTTTTAAAACAGATTGGGTTGATGAATGGATAAATAGATGAATAAGTAGAAGTAGCGTAAGTAGAAAGCTATACTACTTTCTAGAAGGCAGGACATCTAGGCAGAAACACAGGGAAAGACTAAGAGTTACCTAAATGAGAAGAGAAAAGAGTATTTCAGGCAGAGGGTCTTGCCCAAAGGAAAGAGATAGTAGGGAATACAAAAAAACAGAAGGAAGTTCATTGGCTGAAATGCGGAATAGAAGGGAAAAATTGAAATGAGGCTGGAGAGATAGACAAGAGTCAGAGATTGTGAGCCATGTTAAGGATTCAAAAGGGAAGCAACTGAGGGGTTCTAAAAAGGGGAGTGTGGTAGCCATAGGATGCATCATTCAAATCATCCTCCAAAAGAGGACCAGTTGCGAGGAGCATAGTCAGCTAACAGCTTCTTCCAGCTGTGCACCTTCTGGTTCCTCTGTAGTGTGCATGCTGAGGTCATGCTTCCCTTGGGCTGCTTCCAGCCAATGACTAAGCACAATGCAATGAAGGTATTAGAGCCAGGCCATTGCTGCCCAACACGGGACTCCTCTCACAGGCCATCTACTTCTCCATCAGGGTAGCCAAGAGTTTCTCAAAAGTGTGCTGGCATCCAAGGTGCTTTCTACCTAATTCTCCTTGCTCCCTCCCCCTTTTCTATAACATGGTCTGAGGCTCTCCCCATACACTCCTCCTCTTCCCTTTGTCTTTCACAGGTATTTTCTCCTCCAATAAATCTCTCTCACTTCTAGTTTTGTCTTACCATTTGTTTTCCAGAGGACTCCAACTGACCCAGGGAGTGATATGAAGTCTCATTTTACTGTAGAGGGTAGAATAATGGTGGTGAGATGAATATAAAGGAGAAATGAGTAGGCTGTTGCAGAAATGTTTATGAAATCTTACTTAAGCCAAGACAAGGATAGTAGAATTGAAGAGAAGTGGATGTGTTAATATTATATATGGGGATTTGCATTGACAGTTCTTGATGATTTATTAGCAGTGAAAGGAAAAGCAGAAGTCAAAGGTGATTCCAAGTTTCTGGCTGGATGTATGTATCATTTACTGACATAAAGAGCAACTGGTTGTTCCTCACACCAACCCCCATCATAGAATAGCTATTCTGCTGATGTCATAGCTGAATCCCAAGAGTTCATTTTCCTTTCTCAGAGCTGATACTCTTCACAATAACATAATGGATATCAAATTGAGGCAGAGGTCCCTCGCACTTTCCTTGCAGAAGCTGTGATGTTCTTCACACAAAAGAATGGGGAGCTCTGAGCAGCCTGGGCAACATGGCAAAATCCCAACTCTACAGAAAAAAAAAAAATATTAGCCAGGTGTCATTGAACACCTGTGGTCCCAGCTACTTGGGAGGCTGAGGTGGGAGGATCACCTGAGCCCAAGAGATTGAGGCTGCAGTGAGCCATGATCATGCCACTGCACTCCAGTGTGGGCAATGAAGTAAGACTTTATCAAAAAAAAAAAAAAAAAAAGAATGGTGAGCTCTATATAAGGACCACCATAGCATTTTGTAACCATTACCCACACCACTGCTCTTCAGCCTGCTCTCTCAGTTGTTAGCTTGATGAGACACAGGCTTTTACAAAACTATATCTCCCCAAAGGCCATATAACTCTCCTTATAAGAGAGAGACAGGAGATAAGTGAGATAGAAGATGACAACTGAAGGAGAGAAAGATTAGAGTTGGCCAGGCACGGTGGCTCATGCCTATAATCCCAGCACTTTGGGAGGCTGAGGCAGGTGAGTCACCCAAGGTCAGGAGTTTGAGACCAGCCTGGCCAACATGGTGAAAACCCATCTCTAATAAAAAGTACAAAAATTAGCCAAATGTAGTGGTGTGCGCCTGTAGTCCCCGCCACTCGAGAGGCTGAGGCAGGAGAATCACTTGAACCCGGAGGCAGAGGTTTCAGTGAGTTGAGACTGTGCCACTGCACTCCAGCCTGGGCAGCAGTGCAAGACTCCATCTCAAAAAATAAAAAAAAAAATAAGAGAGAGAGAGAGAGAGAGATTAGAGTGATGCTTCCAATCAAGCCAATGCCAACAGCCTCTACAATCTTGAAGAGGAAAAGGATAGATTCTTCCCTAGAGCCTCCAAAAAGAGCTAGCCCTTCCTACACCTTGACTTAAGCCCAGTTAAACTGATTTCAGACTTCTGGCCCCTAGAACTATAACAATAAATTTGTATTGTTTTAAGCCACAAAATTTTTGGCAATTTGTTACAGCAGCCATAAGAAATTAACAGAAAAGCTAAAGAACTGATTTACCTTTGTCCTGGTCCTGGCTTACCCCCACCAACAGCCAGATCCTTCCAACATTGGCAAGAGAGATGCCTCTACCTCCAGGATTCTAGCTCCTGAAAACTTCTACTACTGTACCTATGTCTTATGGAATCTGATCTGATGGGAGTCTCTTCCTTTTGAAAGCATTATCTTGAACAGCCCATGAATACATGGACAACATGCTCACACTATCATATGCACTGGAGAAGCTTATCTAGACATGATAACTCAGATCACAGCAGGCTAGTGGATTGAACTTTATGCAACAGTTCAATATTACCATCAAGTAAATACCCCTAAAGCTTCCAGATGGTCCCAAATTGCTCCTGGATATCCTCTACCCAGAAGACTTTGTGGAAATTCAACCTACATTTAACTCACCAAAGCAGTCTGATGCAAGCACACAAAGCTCCAATATAACACTAATCTTATGGTTAAAACACACACATATATACATATGTGTGTATATGTGTGTATATAATATATCCCCCATAGTAATATATAGGATATATTCACATATATTATCTTAACTGGTTATCTCAGGATGGTGGAATTACAGATAATTTTTACCTTCTTTCTTGTACTTTTATATATTATAAATTATATTAATGAACAAACATTTCTTTATATTCAGAAAGTCTAATTTTAAAAACTAAAAGAAATTAAATACAAAATCAATAAAAATTAAGCTAAAATAATTAAAAACCCAATAAAAATTTTTAAGAATGAAGAATTTTTAAGTAACAGAGTTAAAGTACATTAAAATATATAAGATATGAGTAGAAACCACAGCTAAAGAGTTAAAGCATTAAAGTAAGCAAAAAAAGTAGAAATACAAATCATAAATTTAATAGTAAAATTTTATAAGAGCATAAAACAGAATTTAAATTCTTAAAGTCTAGAAACAAGGACTCATGGTGAAGTAAAGCAAGCTTAAAACAGAAAGATAAAAGATTTAATAGGTAGAAGGAAAATGAAAAAGAAATAGAAAAAAATCAAATAGCAAACACTTAGCAGCAAGAAAAAGTTACATAAAGCCAGGATGCTGAACTAGTCGACAGAGTATGTCTTCAGTAAAATAAGTAAAGATAAAGGGAAAGAATAGAGTCCTAAAGTAAAGAAATCCTATTGTAGACCAACTAATAGCCTCAGTTCTTAGTAGTTTCCTACCTTTCTGGGAAAATCCCCTCTGATCCTATTGTACTCTTTATTGACTCAAACCTCAGGGAAAGGAGCCACAAGACACGCTTCTTCTTTCTTCTTTTGGCCACAGCTGTGTTTTTACCAGTTCTGTGAAAGAGGGACTTGGCCCTAAAGAAAGTAGTCTCCATCTCTCAGAAGCCTCAGCCAGCTATGAACATTTAGTTCCTGGAAACAGCTGGCCTCTTATGTGCTAGAGACAAAGGAACATGCTTCCTCCGGAACAACCATTTACAACTTTGTTTTATTTCATTCACTGATTTACCAAACACACAATCTACAAAGGTTCCCTATATCATGTTCCCTTTTATAATATTCTGTTCTTGCCCTTCATAGGCTTTTCATAGTTTGCAATAATTTATTTACGTGCTTACTCTTTTAACATCTCTTTATCTTAGTAGATTATAAGCTTCGCGAGAGCAGAGATCACATTATTTTGCTCATCATTAGAGAATACAGTGTTGGCTCTTAGTGGGCACTCAACAAGTATTGATGGAATGGATAGATGAAAGGATAGATGTGTAGATTTGAGCATGGATAGGTTATACCATCCATAGCATATATACCATAGCATATACCAAGCCCTGTGCTAGCGGTATTATTTATCTTTGTAACCCGGCACCTCCCATAACACATGGTGTATAGTGTGGCTCTATAGATTTGTTGGCTATATCCTAGGCACCAGGGATGTAAAGATGAGTAGAGTGCTTTTTGGTCTTCCAGAAAACAAGTTTTAGGGAGAGAACTACATAAACTAAGAATTAGAGCAATGTGAGGTATATGGCATGTTACAAACACAAACAGGGCACTATGGAAGCACAGAAAAGAGTGTGCTTAACTGCATTCGGAGCTCAAAGAAGCCTCCTAAAGGAAGCTACATTTGAATTGAATCTTAAAGTAAGCCCAGAAGCTTTCTGAATGAAGAACAGAGGAAAAGCATTCCAGAACATAATATATAAAGACAGAGAGGATCGTTGGAAGGATCATGACTCCTCTAACATGGCTGAAAACACAAGATGCTGTAGAGGAGTGACAGATAAGGCTGGAATGAAGGCCAGACTGAACTAAAACATTTTAGCTTTTTCTTGTAAATGATGACAAGACTTGGGATGACAAATGTGAGAGAGAAAGACATGGTCAGATTTGCACTTTAGAAAGGGCACTTTAGCCAAAGTATAGCTAAGAAGTTGGAAGGGCGAGAAAATATAGGCATCAGTTAGAATTCATGTGAGAAATGATGAGGGCTTGAATGTGGCAGTGGCAGTAAAAATAGAGAAGAGATAAATTCAGGGGCTACTAAAAAGGTAGAATAGACAGAAAAAGACAGTTACCACCCGGATGTGGAGACTTGGTGGAAAGGGGTTGCCATGGTGACTCACAGTTTCCCAGTTTGAGCACCTAGGTGAACTATGGTGCCATTAACCAAAAATTGGGAAGGGAAAGAAGAGGAGAATGTTTGAGGATATGTTGCCTTTAGGTACCCCAATCTAAAAGAAAGGATACAATAATTGAAAAAGTAAGTCTGCAACTCATGATAGGAGTCAGAGAATGGGATGAGATTTGGCAATGATCATTTCATGGATGATAGTAGCAGGTGCCCAGGAAATAGAGAAGAGAATGAGGAGAAGGAGGCTGAATGTGGAGCCCTGTGGAAGATGTACTATTCATTTCAGTATCAAATTATAGCTTATTTGGTGTAGATTGCTTCCACTGGCTTAATTTTAATAACTTATTCACTCTGGTTAGAGAATTCCATAATTTAATTTTAGTTAAGTGTATGTATGCAGTGTTGACACTTGCTGTTTATAATAACTCAAGGCTAATATTTTAATCTTTTTAAACGTTTTAATTATTTATATAATGAAAACGTAAACAACATGCTGCACAAGTCATTTTATACCTTTGTCTTAATTAAAAAATAAACATATAGACACAGACAAATTTTGAAGTGACTTCCTCCATGCCTCCTCCTTCCTCTGCTTGCCTACTGTTTCTATTACTGAAATATTATTACAACTGCACCCTGCTTTTGCGAGAAAGTCACCTGAAAAATTGTCATTACCAAGTTCTTAAAGAGCTGCCAGAACAAAAATCCAAAAAAAAAAAAAAAAACAGAGCAAGTTAATGGTTATTAGCATATTCATAAACTGAGACATAAGGTCAAACTCTTTATTTTCATTCCAAAAAGTCATCTACTTATGTCACTGACCCTGCCTTTTTTTTCTACTATAGCCAATAATAGATTAATGGTTGTGTGATTTGAACAAATTCTCAGAAGCATTTATACTTAAAAAAAATATGAATATCCAGAAGAAAGGGGTTTTTTTTTTTTTAATAGTTAAAAGTATTTGTTAAGTTAAGATACTGCAAGGGTTTAGGCAGCTCAGTAAATAACTTCAGGAGAACAATCTGTTGTCCTTTAACAGGCTCTTAATCTCAAGGGTAAAATCTCTTTCCATTCATTGATATTTGCAATAAAAATTGTGACGGCTTCATGCTGAAGTAATTTCCTTGCTAATGTAATGGCATTAAGATATTCAAATTATCATTGTCTTTTGTACTGGGTGTTTTCAAAGAAGTGTGAAGATAGGGAGAATTTCCTTAGCATATTATTCATCATGTGGCACAAATCACCTCCCTGCTAGCTTGGAGAAAAATTGTATGAGAAAATTCAAGATGCATGAAAAAAATTATCTTGGACATTGAAAATTAAAACAACATGGGCACAAAAACCAGAAGACAGATGTTTTGTTTATACCACATAGCACCTCCAAAGTTGGCCTGATATTTAGGCAAAGAAGTGGCCACTTAAATGATGTGAGTCAATTTTATCTGCCTGATTGGAAAAAGGGATGATGATGATATTGGTGGGCTGGGGAGGAATGGAAAACACTGGTGGGATATCCACCCCAGCTGGTGTCCAGGCTGTTGACACCATCAAGAGAAGGAATTCAAGGATGAGTCAGAAAATAGTGAAAATATGGAGATTTATTACAAAGTGAAAAATCCACACTTAAGAAAGGGGAGTGTGGGCGTACTCAAGAAAGCGTCACACAAGGGAGTTTGGGGCTTCTCCCTTTAGGGCTTCTTTAACCAAGGGGTGGTATATTTATGAAGATTCCTGGAAAAAGTTGAAGATTTCTTGGAACTATGGTGCCATCCATTTTTACACCAAACAGGGGGTTTCCAGAACTGTCATGGCACTGACGGGTTTGTGATTTGTATGTTAATGAGCATATAATGAGGTCCTAGGAGAAACCTAGGTCAAATCCAGCACCATGTAGGGTCTAGTCGGTCATAGCCAGCTTGGCCCACACCCTGGTTTTTCAGGGTCTTATCAGCCCCTAGCTTACGCAGGTATTTCAACAGTTTCCTTTTGCTGCTCATGTGAAACTACTGCCTGGAATTTTCTATTCTCCTGTGACCACCCTGTATTATTCCTATCTCAATGAGAATGAGACAGTGCTTTTTTCTACTGTGTCATTTCTTGAATCCTGGCCTACCCTGAGATGAGTAAGCAGGGATGAGTGGAAGTTTTTTTCTCCCCTCCTCTGGTAAAGCCTAGATCCTAAAATGTTACTTTGTGAATTATAAATATAAACACCTCCTCCCCTGTCCTTTTATGCTATTGTCTTCAATAAAACAGATTTTTTTCTCTTAGAAAAATATCAAGACAGTTATTTTTTAAAATGACTTTGACTCCCAGACACATTCCCCAGTCACTTCAAGTGTGTTTTGTCTCTGCTGTTTGCATACATGTTTCCCTACTTCTCTCACCACATCCCAGCATCCAGAAGCTCCCCAGTCCCAACACTCATTCTCATTGTTCAGGGCCAACCTGAATGTCTCACCTCCGTGCAGCCATCCCTTATCCCCTGTCCCAATCCCCTCACCCCAAATCAATCAATTAATCTATATGAAGTGCTCTGAACATTGTCTGGAATATAAAATATATTATATGAGTATTGGCTGCCATTAACATCATTGTGTGTGTTTCTAAAGTACTTTCCACAAACCTTTGCTGTGCATGACTTTCATCTTGTCACTTAGCTTCTTTCCTCACTTATTTACTCAAAATTCACCTTAGTGAGGTCTTCCCGACCAAAATTTCAAAACCCTCCTTTAAATCTCCTTTTCTGATTTTTAAAATCTTTAGCATTTCTCACTATGCACATTTTTCTGCATTATCTTGTTTATTGAATGTCTCTGTCATCAGAATGAAAGCTCCATGGGGGCAGTAAATAGTTATGCAATGAATGAATGAATGTGCTTGCATATATTTTTACCTACTAAGACTCTATATCGTCAGAGAACCTAATATACCATATGGCACTCAGTAGACCAGCTGAGTAAGAGGAAGATCTAGAATCCTAAGGCCATTCCAAAGAATGGCACATTTGAAAGGGTGCCTCAGCGTGAAACACTCAACTGGCTACATAATGAAGGCATTGAGTGTTAGAAGGAGAGGAAAAAATCCCTAACATGGACATAATAACTTATGTCCTTTTCTAGACTACAGTGCCTAAGGACATCTCTGGGTCCTAGGCACATTGTTTATATTTAGTAAAAATTTATAAAGATTACTGATACATAGTATTTGGCAAAGAAAGATAAAAACTGACATATAAACTATTTGCTTATGAAGGATAAATTTAAGGTTAGATAAAAAAAAAAAACCTCATGTTGCTATATTGTATGACGGGTATGGTTTGCAAAAAGCATAATCCAGGGCCATTTTCCGCATTATATTAAATGGTGTTTCTATACTGAAATCAACTCCAAACTTATACCATAAAATATTGTGAAAATGTCATAGGTAGTTAGTGCAAGGTAGTTTTTAAATAGGGAGTCATTACTTTCGAATATCCATGGAACTTAACATTTTCTTACTTAATTTTTATCAAAAGATTTCAGGGAGTTTGGAACGTCTCACAAAATAGCTACTGAACAGGAATATGGAGAGAAGCAAAGTTTGTTAACTGGAATAAAATAAACCTACTTGGAACTTGGAACTCAAAATTCAAGCTCACTTACAAGGTGTCTGCCATGCCCTGCTCACAGAGTATACATTCCTGGTCAAGAATGTTAAGTCCTAAATAATCCTATCTTGGATGACACAGGAACTGATGAAAAAAGATAACCCAATGGCTTTATCACACCAAATATTCTATCACACAGATCAGAAAGAAGTTTTGACTCTAATCCCACTTAGTGGCTGTGTGAACTCAAGTAAGTAACTTAACCCCACTGATCTTCCATTGCCTTGTTTCAAAATGAGAATAGCATATTAGCACTGCCTTACCCAGTTGTTGTGAGGAGCTAATAAAATACTGTGTGTTAAAACGTGTGGTAAACCCTGAAGTGCTATACAAATGTGATGTATTATTTTTGTTCTTTAAAGGTCTTTTGACACCTAATCTTTGCCTCCATAAATGACCTCTTTGTTTTCAAGCTTGCTTTTGTCTGATCTTACACTGGCTCAAATTTTAATCTCTTACCTAGTGAAGTTATTTCTTTAGACCTTGCCTCTGCCCAGCTCTTTCTTGGACTACTAGAACCTAATTACTTCTGTGGCTTCTGTTTGACTCAGCATTCAATAGTATGGTTACTCTGAGCCTGCCATGTAAGAACTGTGAATGTAAACTAAGGGCTTATCCCCCTGTCTACTGTAATCCATCTAAGTAATATGCAATATTTGAGTGTAGATGACAAGATGGCATGAAATTTCACTTCTCTTTCAGAGAACGAAACCAATTCCTTATCTTTAAGAAGGTTTACTTGAAAGGACTTTCAGTTTCTCTTCATAAAATAATGTAGAAACCATTATTCTTTCTGTTTGCCTCTCACCTCAGCACTGGGCTGAATGTATTTATAAACTAAAACTAGAAAGAATTCTTGGTTTGCAAAAGATTTTAACAGAAAACCAGAGCTGATGGCTAATACTAGCAGGAGCAGGGTCTGTGTACTGGTTTCCACTTCATTAAATAATAGCAGCATCCAGCAGATACAGCACCTACTAAGTGCCTGAGTTTTTACATGTATTAATTCATTTACTCTTCACAACTATTATTAGCTCCATCTTGCTGTTGAGGAAAATAATTGACATAAGGTCAAACAGCTAGTAAGTGGAAGAGCTGGGATTCAAACTCAGGCCATTTGATTCTAGAATAAGGTCATATTCTTAACTCTATGTTATATTGCTAATAATAATGATTATTATGATACTGATAACAAAAAAAATGTATTATTTCTTGTTGCATAACAAATTGCCCCGAAATTTAGTGGCTTAAAAGAACAAAATCACAGTTTCTGTGAGTCAGGAATTTGGACACAATTTAGCTAGGTACTCTGCTTCAGAGTCTTTCACAAGCTGCAATCAATGTGTCCTGTGGGGCTGTAGTCATTCCAAGGCTCGACTGGGAAAGGATCCACTTCCATGCTCACTCACATGGTTATTGTTAGAATTCAGTTCCTTGCAGCCTGTTGGACAGAAACCATCCCTAATTCTGTGCCAGGTGGGCCTCTCAAACATGGTAGTTTGCAAAGTGTGAAAGCTGGGAAAGATATAGAGTCCAGCAAAATACAAGCCACTGTCTACTGTTAATAGACATTAGTATTTCCACCACTTTTGTCATACTCTTTTTATTAAGAGCAAGTAACTAAGCCCACACTCAACTGGAGGGGATTACACAAGGATATGAATACCAGGAAGTTGGGATCATTGGCAGTCACATCAGAAGCTGCCCACCTTCATAATAATTAACATTCTATAAATATAATAAGAAAATAACATTTATTGAGAGCTTACTATGTGCCTGGCAATAGTCCAAGCATTTCACGTATATTAATTCACATAATCCTCACAACAAACCTGATACATGAATTAGTAAGGGGAAGTGCCATGATTACACTTAGAGGTGGAGAAATTAATACCACTTTTCTGTATTCCAACAGATAAAGCCTTTCTTAGAATGCTTCAAAATGATTGCCACAAACTGAATCTACCCCAACCACATCCTCTTTCATAACCACTTGTCTTATTCACAGAACAGGCTTTTTCTAGCTGGTGGCAAATAGTAATTTCCCAAAGTAACCCCCTTCTGGCTCTACTAGTCCTGGGGGTAGGGAAGAAGAAGTAGTCTTTAAAAAAAAAAAATCACTATTTTTCATAAATTTTTTTTTTTTTTTTTTTTGGTCACCGAGGCTGGAGTGCAGTAGTGCAATTGCAGCTCACTGCAGCCACGACCTCCCAGGCTCAAGCAATCCTCCCAGCTCAACTTCCCAAGTAGCTGGGACCACAGGCATGTGCCACCATGCCCAGATGATTTTTTATTTTTTTGTAGAGACAGGGTGTCACTATGTTACCCAGGCTGGTCACAAACACCTGGGCTCAAGCAATCAATCCTCCTGCCTCAGCCTCCCAAAGTGACGTGAGTACAGGTGTGAGCCACTGCACTCGGCCAAACATTATACTTTTTATAAATGAATATATCATTACTGTAATTCCAATTTTAAATAGAAACTGCTAATAAGAATCATCTTTTCTGTTTGAAAGGCTACCAAGGATACAAAATATCCAAATCAATTCCAGTTTTGATTTAATTCTAGTTTTTTTACATCGTGCTTCTCTTCAAAAAGTTGTTGAGATGGCTGGCTCCCAGTTGGTCAACTATAAAGAAGGATAAGAGAGAATAAGCACATCCCCCTGAAAGATTCTAGGCTCTATGGAATTGGATGGAGGTGGGTACTGGCGCATTGATCAGACTGTCTCTCCAGTCTTACCCTCCAAATTAGAGGCCCAGAGAAAACATGGAATCACTTAGCACAGGAGAGGCTGGAAGTCCTCTTCCCTATTTTTAATAGGGACTAAAGGAGTTGCTTATTATGAGAGCTGTGTGGAAGACATCCCAGATTCCTAGGCTGCTGGGTGTGTGTCTATTTTCAACCCTCTTACATTTGCAATGACACATCCTTTAAATATCTAGAAGCCAGTTCCTGGTCAAGTTAAAAATATAAACAAATGAATATCGATTCAAAGTTCTAAATAAAATACGAACAAATGAAATTCAATAATTTATTATTAAAAGAATAATTTACCAAAAGGGTTAATTCAATCATACAGAAAGGATTATTTAATAACACATTAATAAGATTCATCACACTAAGAGGTCAAAAAAGTAATATCATCTTAATAGAAGGCAAAAAGCACTTGCTAGAATTTGGCAACTATTCATAATTAAAGAAATAAATGTCTCAGTAAACTGAAGATAGAAGAAGTCCACTTTGTCATGACAAGTAATATTTATATGGACTAACATATTTAACAATGAAACACTAGAAGAATTCCCAATGGTCAGAATTAAGACAAGGATGTTACTGATTTATTGCATTTTTTAAACACAAAAATGGAAACAATCTAAATGTTCTGCAGTTAACTAAGTTAAAATACAGTCGTAATATGGAATACTTGATAGCCACTATAATCATATGGTACATGAGTATATATAGGCATATTTGAGACCTATACACAAACAATATATAGGTATATATATAGTGTATATAGATAATATATGTTTGCAGATATGAAATATATGTGAATGTAATTGTGCATTGAAAAAGTTCTGAAAAGAAATACAAGCTGCAAACAGGGCTTCCTTTAGAAGAATGGTTTTGGTAGAATTAACAGACTAGAATGGAAAGATCTTTTGTACAAGTACTCTGTGTTGTTCAAATCTTTTTGGAACAAGGAAATATTAGATATGCAGTATTTATTTAATTATTTATTTGGGACGGAGTCTCCCTCTATCACCCAGGCTGGAGTGCAGTGGTGTGATCTCTGCTCACTGCAACCTCCGCCTCCCAGGCTCAGGCGATTCTCCTGCCTCAGCCTCCCAAGTAGCTGGGATTGCAGGTACCCACCACCATGCCCAGCTAATTTTTGTATTTTTAGTAGAGATGGGGTTTCACCATGTTGGCCAGGCTTGTTTTGAACTCCTGACCTCAAATGATCCACCTGCCTTGGCCTTCCAAAATGCTGGGATTACAGGCGTGAGCCACTGTACCTGCCTATGTATACAGTACTCAGACCAACTCTAAAAAAACTAGTCAAAGAATACTGACAGTGAAGAAATAATGGTATTACCAATAAAAAAACAAGTTCAAGGCCAGGTGTGGTGGCTCATGCCTGTAATCCCAGCACTTTGGGAGGCCAAGGTAGGTGGATCACGAGGTCAGGAGTTCAAGACCAGCCTGGCCAATATGGTGAAACCCTGTGTCAACTAAAAATACAAAAACTAGCCAGGCATGGTGGCTCGTGCCTGTAGTGCCAGTTACTCGGGAGGCTGAGGCCAAAGAATCGCTTGAACCCAGGAACCAGAGGTTTCAGTGAGCCAAGATCGTGCCACTGCACTCCAGCCTAGGCAACAAAGCGACTCTGTTTCAAAAAAAAAAAGTTTTATAATACAATATGTATTAATACATCAAAAATTACCTAAAGGATGCATCACCAATTTTTTTTTTCTTTTTAGAGACAAGGTCTCACTCTGTGGCCCAAGTTGAAGTGTAGTGGCATGATCATAGTTTACTGTAGCCTCAAACTCCTGGGCTCAAGTGATCCTCCCACTTTAGCCTCCTGAATAGCTGGCATTACAGGCATGCACCACCACACATGGCCAATTTTTAAATTTTTTGTAGAGATAGGGTCTCACTATGTTGCCCAGGCTGGTCTTGAACTCCTGGCCTCAAGCAATCCTCCTGCCTTGGTCTGCCAAAGTACTGAGATTTCAGGTATGAGCCACATGCCTGGCCATACCTCCAAATTTTGACTTTGGTTGTTACACTTATATAATAGACTGATTTTTTGATAACTTTTTAAATGTTGCTTCATATGTTTTCCAAGTTCTCTGTTAATCACATATTTCTTTTGCAGCTAGGGGAAAGATTAGCAAAGAAAACTGTGGTGATATTTAAATTACAGATCACACTAAACAATGATTAAAGAGTTTACAGAAAAATGTGTTTGTCTTAACCTGGTTTCTAAAAGGGTAACGATGCCTTCTAACTCTGCCTCAATCTTATAAAGCTATTGGGAAAGCTAAATGCTTCCATTTTCTTGCTCAGCCAGCTTCCTTTTCTGGACTTGCTTAATTTGGGCATTTCTCTGAGCTTCAAAATCTTGGAGTCGTTCTTCATTCCTTTCTCTGTTTTCTGTATGGAGTCACTCACTGACATCTCTCACTAATCCTTCCTCCATCTCTCATACAGCTCTTTTCCATTCTAATTCCATATCCCTCCTGGTTTATGCTTGATCAGTTCACATCTGAACCATGGAGACATCTCACTGAGTCTTCGTGCCTGCCAAGACTGTCCCTCTATTTACACATCTCCCATCTTCACCTCACATCCTTCAGGTGATACCTCTTTAGAATATTCAACCACTCTCTTCCTTGTTGCTCTCACCTGCTATGTTCCCAATTCCATGCCTATGCTCTTGACACTGCTCCTTGCAAAAATATCCAAGTTCTACTCCTCTTTCCCACTTAACCCCACCTCCACATGTTATGGTCTCTTCTTCATCCCTTTGTATATCCAATCATTCTTTCAGTACATATTTCAAAACTATGTACTGTATACCAGATACTGGACTAGGCACAGGGAATACTGTGCTTAACTTGGGCACAGGCCTTCTTTATTATTTTCCAAATTAGTGATGGACCACAATCAAAGGATTATGAAACTCAAGTTCAGAACATTATCTGCCTTAACAATAATTTATCACATCCTCCAATGACCACAGAAATCCTTTAAGAGCTCCTCATCTCTCTGCTTCCCTCTGACTTAGTCTCAAGAAATCTTTCTTGTATTCAACAGTTAATATGTGCCTGTGTACAAGGCTTTATGCTAGATGCTAGAAATTGAGAGGTGAATAAAATCTGCTTCTTACAGAGAGCTCCAAGATTAACAAGGATGGAAGACAGGAAAAGATATACAATAGTGAGTAAAAGGTACTCTGATAGAAATGTACAGATTCGACTGGAGAATTCTACTTGGGAAGAGCAAGGAATGCTTCACAGATGAGGTCATGCTTGAGCTGATAACAGGTAGAAAAGGTGGGGACAGTATTTTAAGCAGCTGGAATAGTATTGCAAAGGCACAAGGCATTAAATGGCACAGCTTGTCAGGAAGCCACAAGTACTTCAATATGACCCAAGTACACGAGGCTGGAGAGTTGGGCTGGGGCCAGATCGTTTTTTCCCTTGTTTTACATTCGAGGGAATGAGTAAACGCTGAAGAATTTTAAGCGATGAAGTAACATGATTATATTTATATTTCAAAAAGTACCTCTGGTGGCTATATGGAAAATAGGGAGTGTGAGGGATGGGGCCCAGCTTAGGCAAAAAGTCAAAAGACAGAAGGCTGTTTTTAAAATCCAAGGAAGTTACGTGAATCAGGCAAGTAATGAAGTAGAGGAGTGGTGGCTAGGGTGAAGAGAAGGAAATAGTTTGGAGAGCTATCGGAGAGGTAAAATCAACAGGACTTATCTACTATTGGGTTTTAGAAGTTGAGGAAGAGGTAAACAATGACCTCTGAGTTTCTGGCTTGGGTTATACATATTCTAAGCAGAAAATACAGGTATTGTATACTAAAGGAGCAGGGTGAGCAGGGTATATAATAAGTTTAAGTTGCCTGTTAGGCATTGAGGTAGAAGGTCTTGGAGACTGTTAGATACACATGTCTCAAGTTCAGGATTTTGTTTGGGTTAGAATTAGAGATTTGGGAGTCAGAATACAGATAATGGATCAAAACCATGAGAATGGTAATAGTGCCCAGAAGAAATGTAAATGATGAGAATGGGTGGGAAGGACAGAGCCTTGGGGTATACCAACAATTATGGGGTCAGAGTAAGAGAAACCAGGAAAGGACCCTGAGAAGAAATGGACAATGAGGCAGAAGGACAGCCAGGATAGGCTATTGTATGAGTTTCCAATTACTGCTGTAAAAAATTACCAAAAATTTTATAGTTTTAAACAATGCTGGCCAGGCACAGTGGCTAGCACCTATAATCCCAGCACCTTGGGAGGCAGAGGCAGGAAGATCACTTGAGCTCAGGAGTTTGACACCAGCCTGGGCAACAGGGCCAGACCACATCTCTACTAAAAACAAAACAAAGAAAAGAAAAGAAAAACCAGCCAGGCATGGTGGTGCACACCTGTAATGCTAGGAGGCTAAGATGGGAGAATCACTTGAGCCTAGGAGGTCAAGGCTGCAGTGAGCCAAGATCGCACGACTGCACTCCAGCCTGGGTGACAGAGCAAAACCCTGTCTCAAAAAAGAAAAAAGAAAAGAAAAGAAAAATAAATAAATAAAACAATGCAGTGCCAGGTGTGGTAGCTGATGCCTGTAATCCCAACACTTTATGGGGCTGAGGCAGGAGGATTGCTAGAACTTAGGAGTTTGAGACCAGCCTGGACAACATGATGAGACCCCCATCTTTACAAAACATAAAAATAGCCAGATGTGGTGGCACATGCCTATGGTCCCAGCTACTTGGGAGGCTGAGGCAGGAGGATCACTTGAGACCAGGAGTTTGAGGCTGCAGTAAGCTATGATGACACCATTGCACTCTAGCCTGGGTGACAGAGCTAGACCCTATTTCAAAAAATTAAAGACAAAACACACACACACAAGTTTATTATCTCACAGTTTTGTGGGTTTAGAAATCGAACACTGGTCTTGTTTGTCTAAAGTCAAAGCGTCAACAGAGTAGCATTACTTTCTGGAGACTTGAGGGAAGAATTGGTTTCCTTGATTTTTCCCAGCATCTAGAGACCAACCACCTGTGATTCCTTAGCTTATGGATTTTTCTTCAGTCTTCAAAGCCAGCAAGTGGATAGAGTTCTTCTCACATGACCCCACTCTGACCTTAGTTCTGTCTACACATCACTTTCTCCAACTCTCTTCTTCTGCCCGTCTTCTACTTTGAAAAACACTTGTGGTTACATTGGGCTCACCTGGATAATCTGGGATATTCTCTGTCAGGAGAGTAGTAACCTTAATTTCATCTGCAACATTCATTCTCCTTGCTGTGTAAAGTAATATATTTATTATAGGAGGTTCTGGGGATTAGGACATGGACATCTTTGACGAGAGGTTGGGGGAGGTGCATTATTCTGCCTACCATAGCTGTCATGTCAGAAACTAATCAAACAAACAAAAACATTAAAGAAAGAAAAAAAGTAGAGGGTAGTGATTCTGGGCAAGTTACTCAACCTCTCTCTGCCTCTCTTTCTTTTACTGCAAAATGGAGAGAATAGTGCCTACCTCATAGGCTTGTTATAGGGATTACATGTGCTAATGTTAGAAAGCACATAAAGCTGTGTCCAGCTTATGTTATAATTTTTTAAAAGAGCAATGAGAGAGATTAAATAAGGCAAAGACCTAAAACTGGCCATTGGATTTGTTAATTAGGCAATTAGTTGTTGTTACCACTGTAGTTTTGGGGATATGGTGGTTGTAGAAGTCTAATTATTGTAAGATGGAGGTGAGAAAATTGGAGAACAGGAATAAACATTATTTTGAAGTAAATGTTTAAGAAAGGATAGAGAAAGAATGCTGGCACCTTCTTAGGTGGCATATTCTTAGGGGAAGATGGGAAGTTATGGGAGATCTGAACACACATGCTATGGGGAAGGGGCTAGTGGATAGAACGGCTGAATATATGAGAAAGGGAATAATGACATAGTAAAATCCCAGAGGAGAAGAAATAGACGTGATCAACAGCTCAGATGTTGGCATTAACTTTGAACTGGATTTTCTGAGTCTAGAGGGCAAACTATGAGGGTGAATCTTAGGAATTAAACCTAATTCCTTTCCTTGGCTTCTGTTCATCAGTAGGAATTACTCACAGGTCTCTACCTGAGGCTATGACACCAGAGTTAGAGTTCTTGTCCACCATCCAATATTAGGGTGCCACACACTGTCATGGAGTTTACCTTCTTTCACAGGAAAGTTATATTAGGGCTTTGAGCGTTCAAGTTTAGAATTAGCAAGCAAAAATGTCATTTCTTTCAAAATGGTTAATTTCATAAACAATACCTGTCCTTTTCAAAAGATTTTTCTGATAGAAAAATGCAACTAGGTATAAATTTGTGTTAACAAACAGGCCCTCTTTGTTATTTTAAACTTTTTATCATGGACATTTTCAAGCAAACATAAACAGAATCATATAATAAATTCCATGTACCCAGCACTTCAATAACTACCAGCCTATGACCAATTTTGTTTCACTTATACTCCCCTCTCACCCCCAACTTCACCCCTAGTGTTTTAGGGCTAATAGTTTGGCTGTGTCCCCACCCAAATCTCATCTTGAATTGTAGGTCCCATAATTCCCACGTGTTGTAGGACGCACCGGTGGGAGATAATTGAATCAAGGGGGCAGTTTCCCCCATACTGTTCTCATGGTAGTAAATAAGTCTCACAAGATCTGATGGTTTTATAAGGGGTTTCCCTTTCCACTTGGCTCTCATTTTCTCTCTTGCCTGCTGCCATGATTTGCTCCTCCTTGCCTTCCACCATGATTGTGAGGCCTCCCCAGCCATGTGGAACTATGAGTCTATTAAACATCTTTCCTTTATAAATTACCCAGTCTCTGATATGTCTTTATTAGCAGTGTGAGATCAGACTAATACAAAGGCAAATAGGCATCATTAAAAAACAAAACAAAACAAAACAGGACTTTGGCAAGGCACAGAGGGTCATGCCTGTAATCCCAGCACTTTGGGAAGCTGAGGCAGGCAGATCACTTCAGGCCAGGAGTTTCAGATCAGCCTAGGCAACATAGTGACATCTTGTCTCTACAAAAAAATTTAAAAATTTGCCAGGTGTGGTGTTTTGTGCCTCTAGTCCCAGCTACTTGGGAGGCTGAGGTAGGAGGATCGCCTGAGCCCCGGAGGTCAAGGCTGCAGTGAGCCAAGATTGAGCCACTCCACTCCAGCCTGGGTGACAGAGTGAGACTCTGTCTCAAAAATTTATATATATATATATTTAATTAATTGAATCAAATAATAGGCCGGGCTTGGTGACTCATGCCTGTAATCCCAACACTTTGGGATGCTGAGGCAGGCAGATCACTTGAGCCAAGGAGTTCGAGACCAGCATGGGCAACATGATGAAGCCCCGTCTATACAAAAAAATTTTTAAAAATTAGCTGATGGTGGCATGCATCTCTAGTCCCAGCTATTGAGAGGTTGAGGTGGGAGGATCGCTTGAGCCTGGGAGGTTGAGGCTGCAGTGAGCCATGATTGCACCACTGCACTCCAGCCTGGGCAACAGAATTGAGACTCTGTCTCAAAATAAATAAGTACATTACACTAAATAATAAAATTAATAAAAAATTAAAAAATAAAAATAGTAATATATAAAGTATATAAGAATCTATGAAGTATATAATCACTAAGTTTTGTTAGCATTAGCAAGCAAAAATGTCACTAAGTATACTGATCATATACTTTATATATCTGCTTCTCTTTCATCACGTTACCAAGAACTGGATACAATTTAGTTTATATGAATAGTTTATATGAATTTGAAATAGAACAACAGAAATATTAATAAAGTCTAATTTTAGATGTTAATTTTTAAAAATGTCTTACAATTATTGAGAATTGTGTAATTATTAAGATTTACATAACGTCAGAGCTGGTAGGCTAGTAAATAGTAAATGTTTTTCATGTTTTTGTCAGTTGAACTGCTCAGCAGATATGCCTACCTTTGATTCTGCTGAGAAGAGAGAAAAAAAAAAAAAAGAAATGCCTACCTATCCTTCATATGATATGAACACCTCAGTTCCAAGGTTTAGAATTAAATAATTTTGGTGACTATTTTGCTGCTTAACATTTACCATTATTTTAATGTAAAATTGTTTTTAATAGCTCAAACAGACCATCAAGTGCTGATGTTGGTGTTTGAAAGCTCACTCCCGTACCAGTAACTTTAGAATAGAAGTAAAATGTGATAAATTACTCTGAAGAAGGCCAAACTTCACAACAGCCAGTATTGTTTGTTTAGAGTATGGACTGAAAAATACTAGAAATGATGCTGAGATACTCAAATGCAGCAGATACATCTTTAACCTTTAAAATACCTCAGGTATCTGGGCAAAACAAAGAGGAAAAAACCTACTAGTGACTCAGCTGCAAGATCAATATCAGTGTAACAGATTTATAGGCTCTGAAAAAGTACTCCAACGCCCATCACTATTTATTTTATTTCTATTGGAATATTATGCTAGGTCTTCAAGAATATATTATGTACATGGAAATCAACTGTCCTCTCAATTAGTGCAGATACCCAAAAGTATATCATTGTACAACACTATTTTATAGTATATCTAAGATAATCAAAAGAGGAAAAGAAATTTTAAAAAATCATTTTAATTTTAAATTTAAAGTAGCTTATTTGACAGTTTTCACAAAAGGAAAAATAGAAGTTAAAAAATAAAGTAGCTTGTAGCAACCACTTCATTTGCCAACCTTCTGTAGCTAAGTGTAGCCCTGCGACAAAGTTGGGACCAATGGGATGTAAGCAGAAATGTTACGTGGCAGTTTATAGGATACTCTCTATAAAAGATAGCTGGTGTCTTTTCAGTAAATGGTGTGAGAAACCCGAATATCCATGGGCAAAAGAATGAAGCTGGAGCCTTAACTTACACTCTATACAAAAATTAATTCAAAATGGATCAAAGACTTAAGAGCTAAAACCTGTTGAGGTCAAATAAAATATACAGACAAATCTCCAAATTTAGAATGTTTTCTTTGGGAAGCAAGTATTGTAATTGAGGGCATACACACAGACCAGGTGGTCTCCAGTATGTTTGAAGAACAAAGAGAAGGTTGGAGGTTTTATAAAAAGGAGAAATGTATTGTTTTGAAAGAAAGTTCATTGGCACTAGTAAAGTTTTAGGGAACTGGCAAGCTCTGATTAATGAGTGACAGTGGTGGGTAAAACTAGACTTAGAGTCACAGCAGATTGTTTCAGTAGCCATTAGATAAAACTGGTTACAACAGGCAGTTTCAGCAGTCAGGCTTGCAGAGATTTGTATTCTTGGAGCAATGTTATGTGTGCCCTGAGTATTTTTTACCCCAGCCTCTGGCCTCTGTTTAGTTGAATATGACAAGAATGACCTAATTCATATGATCACCTTTCACAAAGTATAAATTTTCTTTCTTTCTTTTTTTTTTTTTTGAGATGGAGTCTCACTCTGCTGCCCAGGCTGGAGTGCAGTGGCACAATCTTGGCTCATTGCAACTTCTGCCTCCCGGGTTCAAGCAATTCTCCTGCCTCAGCCTCCCAAGTAGCTGGGACTACAGGCGTGTGCCACCACGCCTGGCTAATTTTTTGTATTTTTAGTAGAGACGGGGTTTCACCATGTTAGCCAGGATGGTCTCGATCTCCTGACCTTGTGATCCACCCACCTCGGCCTCCCAAAGTGCTGGGATTACAGGCATGAGCCACCATGCCTGGCCCACAAAGTATAACTTTTGTAGAAGAAAACATAGGGGGAATATCTTCATGACATTGGATTTGCAAATGATTTCTTGGATAAGGCACAAAAAGCACAGATAACATATAAAATAGATAAATAGTATCATTTTATTGAGACAACAGTCTCACTCTGTCACCCATGCTGGAGTGCAGTAGCACAATCTCGGCTCACTGCAACCTCTGCCTCCTGAGAGGCTGGGGTTACAGGAGTGTAGTACCACCATGCTCAGCTAAGTTTTGTATTTTTAATAGAGATGGGGTTTCGCCATGTTGGCCAGGCTGGTCTTGAACTCCTGAGCTCAAGTGATCTGCCCGCCTCGGCCTCCTAAAGTGCTGGGATTATAGGCATGAGCCACCACATCCAGCCTGAAATAGATAAATAGTATTATATCATAATTTAAAACTTTTGTGTATCAAAGAGTACCATTAAAAGAGTGAGAAGGCAACCTAGAGAATGGGAGAAAATATTTGCAAATCATATACAGTCATGCATCACTTAACACTGGGAATATGTTTTGAGAAATGAGTCACTAGGTGATTTTGTCAATGTGTGAACATCACAGAGTGTACTTTCACAAACCTAAATGATGTAGCCTGGGTGTGTAGTAGGCTATATGGTATATAGCCTATTGTTCCTAAGCTACAAACCTGTATAGCATGCTACTATACTGAATACTGTAGACAACTATAACACAATGCTAAGTATTTGTGTATCTAAGTATGTCTAAATGATATGGAAAGGAGACAGAGAAATACTGGGTAGAAGAGGAAAGTTCCCCAGCAAAGGACTACCTGGAAACCTGAGGCCCTAAATGGGTACAGGCATTCCTGTTTTCATGCCCAAAAGTTGCCTTTTGGCCCAGCATGCCCTGCTATCCTACACCCATATAAACCCTGAAGCCCTGGCTCCACGAGGAGATGGACAGAAGAGCAGAAGGACAGCAGAATGGCACAGGAGAGAGAAGAGAAAGAGCGTCTACACACTGAGAGGAGTTCAGCTGGGGATTATTGGAGAGGAGATCAGCCACTGGATGGCCAAACTCCAGGAGAAGATCATCTCCCCACTCCATCCCCCTTCCACCTCCTCATCCACCCCACTAAGAGCCACCCCCACCACTCAATAAAACCCCTGCATTCATTTTTCAAGTCCATGTGTGACCTGATTCTTCCTGGATGCTGGACAAGGACCTGGGTACCAAGAGGGCACTGAGCTGTTTAACACTTAAGCCATCTGCAGACGGCAAGGCTAAAAGAGTGCACTGTAACACACACCCACTTGGGCTTCAGGAGTCGCAGGCACCCACCCCTTGACGCTGCCAAGGGGCCAGAGCCCAGGGGTGCTCGCCCCAGCTCCTGCACCTGCCCATCTATGTGCTCCCTCTCCCATAAGGGGTTTGAGTGCACACAGCGGCTGAACAGATGAGCCCTGTCACACATCCTGCGAGGGGGGTCAGGGAACTCTCCCGATTCACAAACATAGAACAAGTGTTCATAAAAAAAATAGTATTATAGTCTCATGGGACCAATGACATATATTTGTAGACCAAAATGTCACTATGTAGCACGACTATATCTGATAAGGGTTTAATATCCAGAATATATAATGAACTCCTGTAACTGAACAGCAAAAAAGAAAAAAAAAAAAAAATCCAAGCAATCCAATTAGAACAAAAGGAGTTGAATGGACATTTCTCCAAAGATATGCAAATGGCCAATAAGCCCAAGAAAAGACGCTCAACATCACTAAACGTTAAGAAAATGCGTACCAAAATCACAATGATATACTAATTCACAACCATTAGAATGGCTATTGTCAAAAAACAAAAAATAACAAGCATTGGTGAGAATATGGTGAAATTGGAACCCTTGTGCATTGCCGGAAGTATAAAATGGTGCAGCCGCTATGGAAGACAGCAGGGCCATTCCCCAAAATATTAAAGACAGAATTACCATATGACCCACCAATTCTACTTCTGGCTATACACTCAAAAGACTTGAAAGCTGCCAGCCACAGTGGCTCATGCCTGTAACCCTGGCACTTTAGAATGCCCAGGCAGGAGGATCACTTGAACCCAGGAGTTAGAGACCAGCCTGGCAATATGGAAAAACCCTGCCTCTACAAAAAATTTAAAAATTAGCCAGGTGTGGTGGCACACTTTTGGTCCAAGCTACTCAGGAGGCTGAGGTGGGAGGATCACTTCAGCCTGGGAGGTTGAGGCTGCAGTGAGCTAAGTTTGTACCACTACATTCTAGCCTGGACCCTGTCTCAAAAAAAAAGATTTGAAAAGGACTGAAACAGATACTGGTACACCCATGTTCACAGCAGCATCATTCACGATAGCCAAAAGGTGGAAGCCACCCAGTGTCCATCAACAAATAAATGGATAAACAAAATATGGTATATACATACAATGAAACATTATTTGGCCTTAAAAGGGAAGGGAATTCTGATATATGCTACAATGTAGATGAACTTTGACCACGTTCTGCTAAGTGAAATAAACCAATCACAAAAGGACAAACAATTGTATGATTCCACTCATACGAGGTATCTGGAGTTGTCAAATTCATAAAGACAGCAAGTAAAATGGTGGTTGCCAGGGATGGAAGAGAGGGGAGAATGGAGAGTTAATGTTTAATGAGTATGGAGTTTCTGTTTGGGAGAATGAAAATGTTTGGACATGAATGGTGGTGATGGTTATACAGTGCGAATGTACTTAATGCCACTGAACTAACCATACACTTAAAAATGGTTAAAATGATAAATTTTGCTATGTATGTTTTATCACACATACACAAAATAAAGGTAATTGGTTAATCCCCTTGCTCCTTCTTCTTTGTTCATTCCCCTTTCTTGCTGCCTGGAATGTAGATGTGATGGCTGGAGCTGGAACAGTCTCCTTGGACTTCACAAGTTGTACCTTGCAATTCCAGGGGGTACCATTTACATAGAATGTATAGATTTTTACATAAGGAGAGAAGTACTCTGTCTGGTTTAACCACTGTTCTTTTGGATTTCTGTTACTTGCAAACAAAACTAGTTCTAACTGATATAATAGGTTCTATCTATCTATCTATATCTATCTATCTATCTATCTATCTATCTAGGTGTATATCTTATAACTAAAGTATTCATAAACAATAACCTTTAAAGTCCAGAAGCATGTAGACTATTATAATAAATGTGAACAAATTCCAAATGTATGCTAAATTCTGAACAGCAGAAAATCTGGCAGGGAAAAAAATTACATATCAGAGTCCCATTTTTAAACTTATTTAGGTATTATGTTAATTACCTTATAAGTAGTGACAAATATTGTATAACTATGAGGTGATTTATCAATAGAGGCCTGGAATACTATGCAGTTGTTCAAAATAACAAGATGAATGTATATATAAGCAAGTGGCAGAACTGCTTGCATTGTATGGTCCTGTTAACATGAAAATAAAAGGTGACTTGTGCTGCCATGTGTAGGAAAGACATAATAATACGTAACAGTTGGTAGTCACTGTTCTAAGAGCTTTCTCTGAATTATCTCTGTAAGTTCTCAAAACATGCCCATGAAAATTAAGAAATGTAAGGTAATCACACCATGATTACACCTTAGAGAATTAAATAGGGTTGCATTCCGAAGACATATTTAAGATATTACAAAGGGAGAAAAGATCAACACAAACCCCTAAAAATGTAGTAAATGTCAAAACTCAGGGTGATGGATTTTGATATAATATTGTATAATGCAACATTTCTCAAACCATACTTGGACACTGAAGACTGCCTGGTCACCATTTAAAAAAAATACAATATTTAATAGCTTACCCAGAAGAACTAAAATAATGAAAAGGAAAAATGAAATCAATGATATGGAATCTAAATACTAGATTAAATAAAGACAAATAGATGTACAAGGCACCACATGCTGCTGTAAGGGTTATCTCTACACAATTCTAGGGGGCTGTAGAAGACTTTGTGGTGCCCCAGCTTCTTCTTATGCTCTGGCCGACTTTCACTCAGTATCTGAATCTCTGTCCCTGAAGACTCCTTCCTTCCACTCCCTACCCTATCCCAAAACCACAGAAAGCCCAGCCAATGCTTCTAGCAGACCAAAGGGACAAGCAATCAACACACACACACACACCCTAACAGATCTCAACCAGTGACTTACCTCAGAGCTGGCATAGAAATACTATAGCTTCCTCACACCTTGGTTGGGATAATTTTAAGGCATATATTTTGAATTTTTTCCCAGTTTCGGCCATGAAATTAAGCTCCAGCCACTTACTGGAGTGCCTAACTTAATAATGCATCCTTTATTAGCTATATTCTCTTCCTGGTATCACTTCCCCACTTTCTTACTGGTGTCAGGTAAGTGAGATTTGCTAGAACCACCCTGGATCAGGGAAACATGTGATTTAAGAAGATAAAGGATAAAAGGGTAGGTGATGAGGAACCTTTGATTTCTGTGTGTCCACATGATCACCCATAGTATGGAGCAGCAGCTGTGCTGTAATCCGTTACTAAAGGGAAAAATTACCAGTGGAACTTAGAGATGGATCCAGCTCCTGCAGTGTGTTTCATTTAATGCATAATGAAATACTACCTAATAAGAAAAAAGTGAAACATGCAATCTCTTGGTTATTATTACCTCTAATCAATAAAATTAAATTAAAAGAGTGCTGGGTTGGACCTCGATGCTAGACCAAGCTCAGATTTTAGTTGTTCTGAGATTTGGCCACAAGCCTCAAAGCCACCCACCAAGGGACAAATTATGCAGAGACAACAGAAAGTACCTCTAAGACCTGTGGTTGCCAAGAAGGTAGTCAATGTTGGGGGAAGAGCAAAACCAAGAAACTATTGAAACTAGATGGTATAGTGTTAAGAAATTGTTTTATTTTGTAGATTTGTATCATCAGCTCCCTGAGGAACTTTTACTAAAATGAATTGTGAGAGTAACTAATTTAGAAGCTGAAGCATTTTAAATGCTACAAAATGGAAGAATATGTTTGGGTTGATGCAGAACCCACATTCACTATGGAGCAGTCACAGGTGGCTATATGTGATGTAGACACAATCTAAATTGTTTTAGATTGTAATCAATTGCTTATAAGAGAATACCTAAGACTGAGTCTCTGCCTGGGCCCCCAGCCTTTCAACACATCCTTTGAAATCTAGGTGGAGGCTGCCAAGCCTCCTTCACAGCTCTTGCTTTCTGTAAGCCTGCAGAATTAGCACCACATGGACACCGTCAAGGCTTACAGCTTGTATCTTCTTAAACTGGGGTTGATATGTACCTGGGGCTGCTTGGGAACAGAGCAGGAGGCTGAGAAGCACCACACTGAAATTCCAGGACTCTGGGGTAGTGAGCCTGTGAAGAATGCCTCAGCCTATCCCCCAAAATCATTCTGCCTGATGAGAGGGTCAGCCTTGAAGATCTCTGACAAGTCTCTGGGATCTTTCTTCCACTGTCTTGTGGAATAGCACCTGGTCCCTTTGTATTCATGCTAATCTCTTTGGCAAAGGGTCGCTGGGCTACACCCTTGGTTTCCTCTCCCTAACACACTTTTTTCAAGCTAAGAGTTTTCCAGATCTTTCCACTTCTCTTTGATAATAAATTTTGTGTCCAAATCATTTTTTCCCTCTCAGAGCTTAATGTAAGCGGTTAAAAGTAGCCACAAGGAGTTAAAAGTAGCCAGTCAGCAGCCTGAATGCTTTGTTTCTCAGATATTTCTTCCACCAGATACCCTAGTCCATCACTCTCAAGTTCAGCCTTCCACAAAGCCCTTGGGCAGGGCTGAGAAGTCCAAGGTGGAGGGGCTGCATCTGGTGAGGGCCTTCTTGCTGATGAGGACTCTGCAGAGCCTAAGGTGGCACAGAGCATCACATGGTGAGGGGGCCGAGTGTGTTAGCTCAGTTTTCTCTTTCTCTTCTTTTAAATCCACTAGTCCCAGTCCTGAGATAGCCCATTAATCCATTAACCCATAAATGGATTTGTTAAATTAAGATTAGCGTAAAGCTGCCTCCTTACATATTTTAAGTTCAGCCCAAAGGTTTCTCACACTGTAACATAACTGGATATACAAACAGACTATAACCTACTCTTGTAACAAGTAGCTGAATCTCAGCCAATCATGGGTTGTCAACTGTTCAGTGTTCAAATAAGGCAAATGCTGAGCAGTAATCAACCCAAGCTGTTTTGTACCTCAGTTCCACTTTCTGTGCATCACCTTCCTTTGTTCTGCCCACAAATGTTTTCCAACCATGTGGCAGCCCCAGAGTTGTTCTGAATCTATTCTGATTCTTGGCACTTCCCAATCTGTGAATTTTTGCTCAATTAAACTCTGTTAAATTTAATTTGTCTAAAGTTTTTCCTTTAAAATTAATCTATAAGAGCAGAGCCTTCATGACCTTATCACCTCTTAAAGGCCCCACCTTTCAATATTCTTACATTGGAAATTAAATTTCAACATGAGTTTTGGAGGAGATAAATATTTAAACCTTTTGCTGGGGGATTGGATAACAGCTACTGTGAGGTCTGTTTATCCTGAGAAGGGGAACTGTCCAACTTCACTTATAAACACCAGGTGGAACACCCCAGATGAGATGGCTAGTATGCTATGTATGCAAGCCATGTGGGACTGGCTTTATGATGACTGGGATATTTACCTGTTGATAATGCCCATTACCTAGGTAATAGTAAATGCCATGGTTAATGTGGCATTTACCCCTTTAATGTGGACCCCTCATATAAGCTTACTGCTACAAAACAAAACAAAAGTTCAGGAAGCCTTATCAGATTTGCTCTCTCAGCTTCCCCTCCAGGGTCTTACAGATGCTAATAAAAACATTAAGTTAACAGACAATGGGAAAAGGTAAATGGGAGAGTCAAAGGAATGGTCTCAGGAAGGTGGACATTTTTAAACAGTTATTAAGAAATAAGGTAAACAAAGAAAACATTGAAGAAGAGAGGGAGAGTCATGGGACTTATCCCAGGAGGGTGGAATTCTTTAGATGGTGATTTTTAAATGGGATGAATAAAATGGAAACTGATGGAGTTAAAGGTCTCAATACAACACTATTGAAGGCTGTGTGAACCAAAGAAAGCCCCTGTTAGTCCCCAAACATTAAGAGGCTCCAAATATGTCTGCTGTATTTCCCAGCTTGGAGAAATTTTGAAAGTCAGAAGAGAAATATTATAATAAGAAATCTGATCTCAAATTGCCTGGGGCAATAGGCAGGCAGATTAATCAAGATAAAAATAGAAATAGTGCCAGGGTTCCTTGGCTCAATCCCCTGCTGGGGACTCAAAGCCTTGTGTACACAAGTGGGTAATATGGTCAGGGGGTGGTAAAGAGAAATTCCTGTGACTCCTTGATACATGAGAGCCCCACATGCTATGGTGCTATGGTCCACTGGTAAAGCCCTGACTTGGGCTACAATTAGATTGAAAGAACATAAAAATATAAAAGGTTGATAGAATTATGAAATTTGGAATGTTTAGTCAGGCTTTATGTAAAGTTTACCCTTTACCCAAATGTCTTATGTGAATGGATATTATGTCTGGCTGGGGAACACTTCTCTTACCTTGTCTTATAAAACAGAAGGCATGTAAATATGCCCTTCAAACAATATTAATTGGACATGCTAAATGGGAACCAGAAAGATTTCTTGAGCCCACATAGTATAGAATAGAAGCTGGAGTGATGATATGAACAAATTCTCCGTGCAATAGCCCTGTATGGAGCCTAGACTGGGGCTTATGGCAAAAGCCTATGTACACCTTCCAGTGACAACTACTGGGTCTTTGAACTAGAGAATTCTCACTTGAGGGGCATTTACCACCTTGTGATGGGACATCATTTGAAGCTACCTATGACTGAAGGATGTAAAATAATCTTGAAACCTGAAATACCCATAATTTCTTGGTTGATGTCAGAGAAATGCTTCAGTGGGGATGGCAGTGTCCAGAAGAGTTCCATAATATAATGGAAATGGTTTATACAGGATCATGCCACCTGAAAATGTAGTCAGCCCTCGGTATCAGTGGGGGAACTGGTTCCAAGACCTCCAGTGGACACCAAAATCCACGGATGCCCAAGTCCCTTATATAAAATTGTGTTGTATTTGCATATAACCTATACACATCTTTCTGTATACATTAAATCAACTCTGGATTACTTATAATACCTAATACAATGTAAACAATTGTTATGCTGTATTCTTTTTTTCAATTTGTATTCTTGTTATTGTATTGTTTTTACTTAAACAGAATTTTTATTTTTAATATTTAAAAAATTAATTTTAAGTAGAGACGGGGGTCTCTGCCCAGGCTGGTCTCAAACCCTTGAGCTGAAGCAATCCTCCTGCCTCAGCCTCCCCAAGAGCTGGGATTACAGGTGTGAGCAACTGTGCCCGACCTCTTTACTTTTTTCCAAATATTTTTGATTCATGGTTGGTTAAATCTGTGTATGCAGAACCCATGTATACAGAGAGCAAACTGTAATCACAAGCAGGGAGCCTCTTTTCCCATATGACTGACTCAGGAACAGCGTGAGGAATTCCTGGGTTCTACAGTGCTCTATAAACCTCTCTTAACTAAGAGCTGCTTGGTTTGTAGATGGCAGTTCCAAGGTGAAAGGACAATATCATATTTGGAATGTTGCCACTCTTACTGAAGAAGATGAAAACAAATCAGCTTAGTGGGTTGAATTGCATGCTATTTTCCTTGTAGTGACAGAAATGAATTGAACAGTGGTAAAAGCACATACGTTTTTTAATGACTCATGGACAGTGGACAGTGGCCTGGCTGCAGGGTGAGGCAGGACAACAATGGATACCTGGCCTACTAAAGGAATGCCCCTATGGGGCACAGCCCTACAGAAATCTGAGGGGTGCATTAAAGTAGGATAAATCAATGCCCATCAGAAGAATGCTCTTCCGGGTTCAGAAGGTGGCTGAAATCTACAGGCAGAAACCCCCATGTGCTCACTGAAGGTGGCCACCTGGCTCCATAAAATGAGTGGAGATGGGGGTACTGCAGTAATGTAGAGACAGGCTAAATCTAAACATGTCCCTTTTGCACCCTCTTAGGCACATAACGCCAATAAGAATCGTTCTGTCTTCCAGCAAAAGAGACAAAGATGGCTGTGGGGGCAGATTCCCTCATGGGAATGCTCTAAACATAGCTGGCAAGGGAGACTGATGCTGGTAGCCCTGGGGATCTGCAAATGGTTCTGGACAGGAATACACAGTGGTTTTGGACGGGGCTTTGCTTACACAGTAAAAGATGCAAATGCTCAGAGTGCTATAGAAAAATTAGAACAGAAGATATTGCATGGATTTGGAATAAACTTAAGATCACCAGTTTTAGCACTGTTATCAAGTATAGTATTTATTGAGCATCTATTTATAACTGTGAATCTGGCACTATAATTTGAGTGTTTGGCATGCAGAAATTCTTGAGCTCATCCATGAACTTAGGGAAAAAAATAAATAAATAGAAAGTGCTTAAACAGTTAAACCCTGTGTTTAGAGTTTAACTAAACAAGGGTTTAGTTAGGGTTTAACTTTGCTAAAGCCGTTTTGTTCATCAGGAGGAAGGTGAGTGAGATATCTGCCCTATATTTGCCATTATACATGCCACTGTACAAAATACGGACACACAGTATTTGAGATTCATGTATCTTAAAGAATCAAAATGAGGACTTTGATGTTTTGAGTTTAATGTTTTGAAAGTGTTATTCCAAATATAGCAAATAGTCAATTAACAAGCAAATAAAAAGAAACACTCCAGATAATGGCAGCATCCTTCAGAGCCCTGTTGATTTATATATTTAACACTTAGCTAAGCACCTACTCTATGTGCAGCGCTGTGCTGGGGTGCTGTGCAGAATATAAAGAACAATACCACATGTTCTCAGTCTTTACATTACCTAGAATTTTCGTTAGGAATAATACCATTGTAGAACTTCTTTCTCAGATATACAAGCCAGATCAGCATGCCAGATTCTTTCTTTTACGAGAAATCACTTGCTAATAGACACTCTTTATGTTCCTGTAAAATTTAATGTGTAAATCAAACCAAATACTATACTTATGTGTATTTTTAGGTCTCCATGGATTAAAAAAAATGAACTGTATTTTCATCAAGTACATTTTGTATATCAATGTACAATTCCCTGTCAAATCTTATGGGTCTAACATGCTGCTCTGTTTCATGCTTGACATCATCAGGGAAATATCTGAGAGTAGAAGGAACAGATTTAGGGTGTGTTAGTGATATTGGGCCACTAGCCATTTTCAGTGACTTTTCTCGCAACTTCTCCTGGGTCTATGAGAACAAAAAGAAAGGAACAACTTTTTCCACTGAAACAGGTTTTGGGGCTGTGAAGGAGTGTATATTTCTCTGCAAAATAATCAAGTCATAGCTACTTTGAAGGAATCCTTCAGATACCAAACCGAGGAAAGAACCAGAGATATAATTAAAAGAGTATGATACGGCAGGTGCAGTGGCTCACGCCTGTAATCCCAGCACTTTATGAGACCAAGGAGGGAAAATCACTTGAGCCCAGGAGTTTGAGACCAGTCTGGGCAACATAGTGAGACCCCATATCTATTAAAAAAGAAAAATAAAGGCCAGGAGCAGTGGCTCATGCTTGTAATCCTAGCACTTTGGGAGGCCGAGGTGGGTGGATCACTTGAGGTCAGGAGTTCAAGACCAGCCTGGACAATATGGTGAAACTTTGTCTCTACTAAAAATACAAAAAATTAGTTGGGTGTGTTGGTGCGTACCTGTAGTTCCAGCTACACGGGAGGCTAAGGAGGGAGAATCACCTGAACCTGGGAGGCAGAGGTTGCAGTGAATCAAGATTGCACCACTACACTCAAGCCTGGGTGACAGAGTAAGATTCTGTCTCAAAAATAAATAAATAAATAAAAATAAAATAAATAAAAATGTACAAAATGCATGGTAAATACATAGAGTTTATTATAATACACTACAGGTTTTTTTGGTGTTGAAACAATATTTTTAAGGCCTCTTTAATAGACATGAAGTTACTTCTTATTAAAATACTGTGTACCACAATGTGAGTCTGAGTATCTTTGTTTTTGTTTTGTTATGTTTTAAACAAAATGCTACTTTTAATCTCATCAAGGAGTTAAGGCATATAATACAAGCTCTAAAAATTAAGTGCCAAAGTAAGAAAGAATTAAAAATGATATATATTGTGCACTTACATAGTTTTATATGCAAATCTCTATATAGAAAATTATGTTTAAATAATATCCCTGTAATATGGATTTAAAGTGTACGTACCCTGGCAAAAAAATATGTGCCAGTATAACATGCATAAGAAAAATACATGCAACAATAGTATAAAGGCCTAGAGGGGAGAAATTGAAGGGAACAATTGTGAGGTTCTCATACTTATATTCCCCCCAAAAATTATAAAATACTATCCAACTGATATTATGCCAACTCTGGAAAATTCTAATTTTGGAAACAGTGCTACTTGGCATTGATCCTTTAAAGTCATGAAGGACATTAATTGTAATACTGAAATATATCCTATTTAAGTGAAAAATAAAGATTAAAAATGACGTTATGTAACACTTCACCTTCAAATAGTGGCCCACACAACTGCACACACTGAAATATGAGGCAATATTAAAGAATTAACCTTATACTTTGAGACTTGAAAATCATATTAAACACACTTACAAACGGCTTAAGGAAAGCAAAGCATAAAATTGTCCCCCAAAGTTCTTACTAGACAGTTGAAAATTTGGCCCTGCTGTTATTAACATGGAAGCAGAGGAAGACAGCTCTTCGTCACTGTCATGCCTCAACCTTAAATGAAAAGACCTGAAGTAGTCAATAGTGTTGGCTCTGGGTCCAGACTGCCAGGATGCAAATCTCAGTTCTACTACTGCTAAGGGTGTGATACTGGGTAAAATGCATAACCACCTCTAAGATCTACTTCCCCATGTGTAAAATGGAGATAATTACAGTACCTCCCTGTATTAGTTCGTTCTCACACTGCTATAAAGAACTGCCTGATACTGGGTAAGTTACAAAGGAAAGAGGTTTAATTGACTCACAGTTCAGCATGGCTGGGGAGGCCTCAGGAAACTTAGAATCATGGCAGAAGGTGAAGGGGAAGCAAGGCACCTTCTTCACGAGGCAACAGGAAGAAGTGCCAAGTGAAGCAGGGAAAAGCCCCTTCTAAAACCATCAGCTCTCGTGAGAACTCACTATCATAAGAAAAGCAGGGGGTAACTGCCCCCATTATTCAATTACTTCCACCTGGACTCTCCCTTGACACGTGGGGATTATGGGGATTATAATTCAAGATGAGTTTTGGGTGGGGAGACAAAGCCTAATCCTATCACTCCCTCATAGGGTTGTTGTGAGGATTAAATGGGGTTAATATAAAGTACTTGACACAGTGCCTGGCACATGGTAAGTGTATGATAATTATTAACTGGTTACTATGTTTGTTGTATGGATGACCAGCTTTGGTGGAGAGACAAAATGTCTCTTCGATTAGAGAAAGAGTTTGGTTTAGAAACACCAATGTCTTTACAGAGTCAATAGTGACACAGCTCTCAGTAACAATTTTCAGCCTTTATTATTTTAAGTCCTGCTAATCCCTTCAATTAAGAATTTAGGTTCTGCCATGAACAAGAAGAGGGAAAATAAAGTCACAGCAAATTAATAGTAAAGCCAGGACTATGCATTCTTCAACCTGTCATTATAACTATACTACATAGGGAAAGACAACTCTATACATTGTAGGTAACCCATCTGCCACTGATTTGTTACATTTACCCCATTTAGCAAATATTTATTGAGAACTTAATATGTTTGAAGCAATATTCCAGGTGCTGGGGAAAATATGGGCAAAAATCTAGGCGAATTTAGCTTTTCTGGAATAGGAATATATACCATGAAATTATAATACTTAGAATTTACATTAGGTATTGAGAATATAGGAATAAACTCAGTAGGAATAAATAAACTCAGTAGGAATAAACAAACTCAGCTTTCCCCCTATACTCTCACAACGTGCTTCGGAGAACAGATGTGTGAAGGTTTTCCCCCATATGTCCATAGTTCCGCAGTGGACACCAGCTGGATGTCCTCTAATTCATTTTAATTCTGACACTATCTCCTTGGACACAGCCTCAGATTCCACAGGTTATGGGCTCAGTCCCACGTGACTGCTCTCCACTTCCAACACAAATCTCAAGCTCCAGGTTATTTTACCTGTGCACTGACCAACCAGCTATAAATCAGAGTTTCCATGACCCCTCCCTTGGGTTCAACTAATTTGCTGGAGCAGCTCACAGAACTCAAAAAAATATATTTACCAGTTTATTGCAAAGGATACAGATGAGAAGAGATGCATAGGGCAAGGTATGGGGGGGAAAGGGCATGGAACCCCAGGAACCTCCACATGTTCAGCTATCTGGAAGCTCCTAAACACAGCCTTTTTGTTTTTTTTTTTCAAAAAAAAAACTTTATTATATAGGTGTGATTGATTCAACTCAGCCATTGGTGATCAACTCAACCTTCAGCCCCTCTCCCTTCCCAGGAGATTGGTGGGGGGGTGGGGCTGAAAGTCCCAACCCTCTAACCCTGCCTTTGTCTTTCCAGTGGCCAGGCCCCATCCTGAATCTACCTAGGGACTGCTAGCCATCAGTCAACTCATTAGTGTAAAAAAAGACTCCCACGACTTTGGACATTCTAAGGATTTTTAGATTTTTATGCCAGGAAATGGGACAAAGACCAAATAAATATTTCACAATATCACAGATATACACAATAGAAATAGATGTGGTGTGCTTAGGATCCAATCTGTAGCCAATGTAACTGAAATTCTCAAAGATGCAAAATTAGTACACTGTACCGATAAGTATTGTTAAATTAAGTTTAGTCTATAGCTCCCTCTTTACATATTTTAAGTTCGGCCTAAAGCTTTCACCATACATGGTGAAGTAACCTAACTGGTTGTGTAAACAGGCTGTAACTTACTCCTGTAACAAGCAGCCATGAAGTCTCAGCCAATCACAGCAGCCATACTTGCACCATTCACAGGCACAGACTGTTCAAACCCTGTTCAAATAAGATAAACACAGATTATCTTATTTCTGTTTCTGCACCTGACTTCCAATCTCTATACATCACATTCCCTTTTCCATCCATAAATCCTCTCTGACAACATGGCATTGCTGGAATTGCTCTGAGTCTATTCACGTTGGGCTGCTGCCCAGTTGGTGAACCCTTCTTTGCTAAATTAAACTCTCTTAAATTTAATTTGTCTGAAGTTTTTCTTTTGATAGTATATGTATCAGTACAATTTGGTCTTAAAATAGGTTTTTAAAAAATTAAGCTAGCACCAAATAAAAATTCATTGTGTACAATCAGTTAAATTAGAATAAGAAGCATCTCTTTGCCTTTAAGATGCATATTGCTGAGACGAGTCATAAACCTAGAGTACCCAATACTAAAGTGTAGGTAGTATCAACTGAGGAATAATGAGGTTCATAATTTTGGAAAGGAGAGCATGGTGGCCATTCTGACAGGCTGGGGAGGATAGCCTCTGTCTAGAAGCTGAAAGCAGACACTGAGAAAGGGGCAAAGGGAACAGGAATTTATGCTGAATGGGGTGGGGAGTGGGGTCAAATATATATATTCAATAAGTTATAGGAGTCATATTTATGAAAGGAGAAACATGCACATGCATAATTGAGCTTCATGCCTCTCCCTGAGACCCAAGTTCAAAAATGGCTTCATTAGCATGATCAGATGGTGGAGTTGTCAACCCTCTGATGTCAAAAGGTGAAGTAGAGGACATGAAAACCCTCATTGCACATTCTCCATACTGGCCAGAACCACTCCATGGTTGGTGGTCTCTTACTTGGAAAAAATGCTGGCTATTTTGTCATGAGATCCTTACAGTGTCGCTTTACCAGCCAGAAACCTCTGGGCCAGAGGGGCCTCTGCTTGGGCTTTGCTTGTGGCTGTTGGGCTTGCTGTGGCCACTTGGCTGGCAGGCTGCACTCGGCTGGCACTATTGGCCAGAATCCCACACCTGCCAAGGGCGAGCCAGGTGCGGGGCAGCAAAGTGTGAGTGAGTGAGCGCAGGGTCTGGCCACTGCACAGAGCCAGATGTGCTGGCTGCAGCAGGGCTCCAGGCACCAGCACAAGTGGGGCTCTGTGTGAGGCTGCGGCTGGACCAGATGTACCATAAGCAGCTTCCCCTGTGAACAAGGGGAACATGACAGCGCCCAGAAGCTTGAAGATGCCTGGAACTGCAGAGCCCCAAAGAGGGTGTTACAGTGTCACAGCCCTGACTTGGGGAGCACTGAGGTCTGGTCTCCCAGAAGGGCCACAGCAGCTCTTCTCTCCTTCTCTCGCCTGTAGTGTGGTGAAAGGGGGGGTGTGTTTCAGCCTTGTTTGTGTTACAACTCTTTCAGTCCTGCCACTTGGCAGGTCCCGAGTTCTTGTCCCATGAACAAGAAGAATGAGGTATGCAGACAACTGGAGAGTGAGCAAGGCAGAGAGGAGCTTCATTGAATGACAGAACAGCTCTCAGGAAACCGAAGTGGGTAGCTGCTTTCCACAGTCAGGTTGTCCTGACAAGTCAAGGAGACCCAGAGTGGTAGCTCCTTCTGGTAGCTGGTAGTCCCGACATCTGTGTGAGTCTGGCTGAGTCTGGGGGTTTTTAATGGGCTCAGAAGGGAGGAAGTGTGTGCTGATTGCTCCATGTGTGGCCATGGGTGGGCCCGGAAAAAGCACCTAAGTTCTCACTCTGGACTGGACTCCAGCTGGAACTGACAGCCTGGCCCCCAGGTTTCAGGCTGTCCATGGCTTGAAGGTAGGGCTTCACCAGGGACCTGCCCCTTTCCGCCCAGGAACCTGTCTGCCTCCCATGGCCATCAACATGCTGTCCAGGGCGCCCAGGCTGTTTGTGCCAATGGGTGCCTGCAGACTCATGGCGAGCCACCCTCAGTTCCCCCCAGCCTCCCTGAGCTCGTTGGTGCCCAAAGTTTCAGAGGGGGCTGAGGCAGTTGTAGGGCTAGCATGTCAGCGCTGCCTTGAACGTGTGCACACCTGTCAGGGTCACGACAGTGCCTGGGCTCAGCTTGCTTCAACTTTGCTCTGAAATCAGAGCAGGCCCTGGGAGTTGGGAGAGGCCAGGGAGTGGGAGCAGGCACTTCCAAGCCTGTGGGAGAAGGGGGGCTTCCCGGGTCCCTGAGAGTGCAGGGATGCCCAGGTCCGGATCCATGGCTGGGTAGCTGCAGCTGCACTTGGGAGCCCAGGCACCTGCCCTGCCAACTCGGTAGGAGGCAGGGCTCTTGCCTGTTCCCAGCTCCCACTGGCCCCACGGAACTTGTGACCCTGGCTCCACCTGCCCTGCTGTAGCCACCGTCTTTGCAGTGGCCACTCCAGACAGGCTACTGCTGCTATCAATTTGTTGTGCTGAAACTGCAAAGGAAAGGGGTGGCATCAGGCAGTTGGTTATCAGTGATAAAGTTGTTTAAAGGGCTGGTTTCTGTTTAGCCCTTAGGGAAGAAAGCCTATGGTGGTTATGGAGGGAGCGGGTATAATGAGGCATGTTCTACCCACATCCCGTCATGGTTGGGAACTCAGTTTTCAAGGTTTCTCTGGGATGCCCTTGGCTGAGAGATAGTCTCTTCAGTTGGTTTGGGGGCTCGGAATTTTTTTTTTTTAATTTCACAATACCAAATGAGTGGTGATAACAATTAGGTTATTGGGCACGCAAAGGAAGAGTTGTATGACCTAGAGTACTCTATACTCTATATTAGTAACCCATAAAGTTTGAAGTGGAGGAAAGTAGGGGAGGAGGAGCAGACACATCTGTGAATCAAATGAAAGCTATGGATCCTCCCTTGCAGAAAACGCACATGAAGCATGCACCCAAAGATTCACATACAATTAATTTTATTGCACTGAAAATAGATTTTCTTACATAAAATTAAAAAAATATACTTTTACTAAGATTTGTCTTCCTTTTTATATACAAAAATTAACAGTTTCATTCTGAAAAACAAATAGGAAACCAAAACCAAATTGTTCAGAGAAAACAAAAAGTTAGCTTTAATTCTGCTTAAAATTTCATTGAGAAGGCTGTTTGTCTTGATTGTGAAGTTGACACAGAGGAGTTGTCTTTGCCTTAGCTACATATATGTCATCTGTAACATCGGTGATTGTAGTGTTTCTTGTTTTTTGGATCTCTGCCTACTGGGAAATTGATAAAACTTTATCAATTCAAGTTGCATGATGAAGTTTTATCACCTCAGTTGCAGAATCATTTCCTCCATCACTGGACAGTTTATGTGGTTATCCTCTCAAATCTCCTCTTCTTCAATCTTAAGTTACATCAAAAATTTACCTCAGGTATTTATCAAAGCCATGAATGGGCTTTTCCCTGTTGTTCTAGAATGGTCGTTTGTTTTCTTTCAGTAAGCAACAAAAAAAACTAAAATGTTTGTCTTAAATTCAATCAAGCTCTTCAAGATTTGCTCTTGGGATGCTCAGCCAATTTCTTTGTAGTTGAGTAGAGTGTCATTTACTCACAGTTCTTTGCAAAATTATTTAAAAGGCTTGCTCACTTTCCCAGCAACAGGCAACATTTATTTTGGGACTGTTGACTGAGACTTTGATGACAAAGCCTCAAAAAGACTCACTGAGGCCAGGCGCGGTGGCTCATGCCTGTAATCCCAGCACTTTGGGAGGCTGAGGTGGGCAGATCACAAGGTCAAGAGTTCGAGACCAGCCTGACCAACATGGTGAAACCCCGTCTCTACTAAAAATACAAAAATTAGCCGGGTGTGGTGGCACGCACCTGTCATCCCAGCTACTTAGGAGGCTGAGGCAGGAGAGTCGCTTGAACCCGGGAGGCAGAGGTTGCAGTGAGCCGAGATGGCACTACTGCACTCCAGCCTGGGTGACACAGCGAGACTCCATCTAAAAAAAAGACTCATCTATGCATGGAACTTTGTTCTTTGCCAAACACCACAGCTATTCTAGAGTAGAACATCCCAACCTTTGTGCCTGAATTTCTTACAGGTGTTCCAACCTATTGATCCCCTCTGCCCTTGGGGAAACTGGGTGGGAATGGTCTTCTCTGTAAGCAAGCTCCTATGTTTATCCCATTTTACTGCACAAAGATTACCATTTTTGCCATAGGCTGTTTTAACTGGAAAAAGTTGAGAAGCATAGTTGTTTTGCTCGACAAAAATGTTTTACTATTTCAAAGATATTGATGGCTTTTAAAGATTCCAAAAGGGGTTCTTAAAATAGAATTTTTTTGTGAAGGTGTGCTATGCACATAATGGAGACATGGAGCTGGCTGTCTTCTGAGCCATCAGTAGTTTCATTCAGTAGCATGCTAAAGGAAACTGCAATAGCTGGAAATTCCTCCATGACATATTCCAACCAACCCCCTCCCCACAGAAACAAACAAACAAACAAACAAAAAAACAACAACACGCAGTCCTGGAGTGGATGACATCATTCAACAAAGATATTACTTAAATTTTCTTTCTCAGCTCCAAATCATAAGCCAGCTTTACCATTTCTAGGACACAGGACTACTATAAAGTTTCAAAATTGTATTTCTTCTTTTGTTTCATAACTATATTTTTCCTTCACGGCACAATTCAAATTTGATAGAGTATAAGTTTTCTCACCCCTTTTCATTTCTCTCTTAAAAAAAACCCACACAAAGTTCTTCACGTATTCCTATTCTCTGGGGACTCTGAAAAGAGTGCTTTTCAAACACTAATATTAACTCCTGCTAATTAGAAAACTATAGGAGTTATCACTTTGATTTAGAAAAGATAAAGTGCAAAAATATAATAACTTGTCCAAAGTAATAGTTAATGGCAAATATTTATTAAGCACCTCTGTCCTTAGTATTGTGTTTGATACCATACTGATGTTTTTTGCTTTCTTAGCCAATCCTTTATTCAGAGACTTAGCCTATTTTTCAAATTATCATTATTAAATGATATATTCTTTTCTATTTACTGAGTGTCAATACTGTTCATTGTAAGCACAATATATAGTATCACAGATCTTAAATTCAAAAGGCTCAAAGTAGCTGTCTTTTGCCATCACTTTGTCCAGGAGCCCAAATTCCAGCTGCAGCCAAGGTCATGGTCTGAAATTTGAAAGAGTAACCACATTGACTGTTGTACACTGCTGCCCTATACTTATCTTTTTTCTGTTTACTGTTAATATTTTGCTTATTAATTTCCCTAGCCTCTTACTGATGTTACTAGGGCCTTGAAAGCTTAGAGTCTTCATTGATGATGCTAAAAAAAAACCCTTTTCTATGCTATATTAGATATACTATGTATGCACCCTGCCACCATAAAATATCTCCAGTCATCACATTCAAGTGAAAGAGTAATTTTTTATATAAAAGGATACAAAACTGTCTTTGCATATTTCCCGTTCCCACTGAGATATGCGTATAACTTCAATAATAAGAAACAGGAGACACTTTTTTTATTCTTCCTTAAGAATAGAAAAAATTCTTTCTCCAAGAATTTTACAGTTATCTAAAGAGTTATCTAAATATACTAAGAAGAGATGAATAAATGGCTAAATCTTTAGCTAATACTAAGATCATTACTTATCTCAAATGAATGCTTATCTATCATGTTTTTCAACTGAAATATTGAATCTAACTACCTTGTAAATCTACGAGGACAAATTTGAAATAATTTTCTTGAGATATTGCCATATGTATCATTCCTGATTGCCTGTGGAACCAGAATATAAATTTTGCATAGTATTCTATAGATTTAATGTCCTATATTTTTATTGGTCTAATATAATTTACTGGTCTAACACTGGGTTTTTAAACAGAGATGTTAAAAGAGGACACCTCAGCCTCCCACAAAAAGCATATGTTAGAAAAACTGTTGTAGGGAACATGCATCCTTAACAAAAAAGTTTCCTCTTCTTTCCCATTTTCACTGTGATTTTTAGAAGACACAATAGTTCCTAACTTTCTAGCTGGTACTATTACAACTTAATTTTGACTTCCTTAAAATAAGGACTTTCAGCTATTCAAAAAGGTCAGTTTAATTGTTAAAATTTCAATTATTCTCTTGACCATACATAAAGAAGGCATGCAAGGAAATAGCTATTTTCCTTGTTGCTTTTGTTATGCTTAGAACTTTCAAATTATAATATTTTTGTTTGTCTGGAAACATTTTTATTTCACTATCATTTTTGAAAGATGGTTTTGCTGGGTACAGAATTCTAAGTTGGAAGTTATTTTCTGTTAGTATTAATATTTTGGAGATCCTTCACTATCTTCTGGTTTCTATTGCTGCAGTTGAAAAGTCTGCTGTTAGTCTAATTGTTGCTCTTTTGAGGGTGATTTTTTCTCTGGCTATTTGCCAATATATTCTTTTTTTTCTTTTGCCTTGCTCTGTCACTCAGGCTGTAGTGCAGTGATGCGGTGGTGCGATCTCAGCTCACTGCAACCTCCGTCTCCCAGGTTCAAGCAATTCTTGTGCCTCAGCTTCCTGAGTAGCTGTGAATGCAGGTGCGTGTCACCATGCCCAGCTAATTTTTGTATTTTTAGTAGAGATGGGGTTTCACCATGTGTGGCCAGGCTGGTCTTGAACTCCTGACCTAAAGTGATCTGCCCACCTTGGTCTCCCAAAGTGCTGGGATTACAGGTGTGGGACACCATGCCCAACCTACCAGTATATTCTATTTGCTTTTGTGGTAGTGCAGTTTCACTATGATGTGTCTAAGTGTGGATTTCTTATTTTTAAATCCCACTTGGGATTCCCTGGGTCTCCTGACTCTAACAAATATTGTTTTCCTCAATTTTGAAAGATTTATGCCATATATGTACCGTAATTATATATATATATATATATATATATATGCGATTTTTGTCTTTTTAACATTTTTTTAAGTTCAGGGGTACAAGTGCAGGTTTGTTACGTAGGTAAACTTGTGTCACGGGGGTTTGTTGTACAGGTTATTTTATCACCCATGTATTAAGCCTAGTATCCACTATTTTAATGTCTACATTAGTTATTATTTTAATATCACATATTCACTGAGGCTGTAGCCTCCTCTAGTATCTGTTTATTTAGCGAGGGTGGAAGATGTCTCAGAATTAACTCCTCCAATGTATATGTGCCTTGGGACCTGGTTTCCTGCACCTCCATATGCTTCCTAGGACTCTAGGTTCCCGATCTTGGCATATATGCCTAAAGCAGCCACAGTTCTTCACTTAGCTACTTCTCTGATTTCAGTTTGGTGTTTTTTTAAATTTTGTTTATTTTTGTTGAGGGTGGCTGGAAATCTTGGGGGTTTTCCTTATTTTCCTGCAAGCTCCACAATACATTGAAAAGTATGTCTGTATATTGTGTTTTATCCAGTACCTTGGCATTTAGCTCTGGAAGAGCCAAAAATACCTATCTTGTTATGCTGTCAGTAGATGTCACAAATAATTTAATTAAATGATGAGAACACATGAACACATGGGGGACAACAGCACATACTGGGGCCTCTTAGAGGGTGGCAGGTGGGAGGAGGGAGAGGATCAGGAAGGATAGCTAGTGGATACTGGCTTAATACCTGAGTGATGGGATGATGTAAGCAGCAAACCAACATGGCACAAGTTTACCTATGTAACAAATCTGCACATCTTACACATGTACCCCTGAACTTAAAAGTTGGAAATTAAAAAAAAATTAATTTCCAAATTTTAGTTAAAAGAGAAAAAGTGGCAGAATTCTTATGAAATGCAAAATCCTTAGTGTTAAGTCATTTATAAATTGTAAAGATAACAACAATTTACTGAGCTTCTAACTCTATGCCAGCCATTTTATGTAAATTGTCTCACTTACTCAAAGAACAAAGTAATGTTATCTCTAAGCTACATATGAAAGACCTGAGACTTAGAGAAGGTAAAGAATTTTTCCAAAGTCACATAGTAAGTGGCAGAGATAGGGTTTGCCGATTATAAACTGTTATGTAACTTCTTTCCATGAAGCCAGATTGCCTCCCTATTCTCTCTCCCTATTCAAGCTCTGCAATCATAGAAGATAGAGCCATTCAAAAAATGTTATCAGCAATACTTTAAGGTGGCAGACTGTTCAGAGATCAACTTGAAAGCACACTATCTCCATAGCCTTAATAATGCATCTGATTTGGCCACAATCTGACAATCCCTTCAAAAGATATCATGGATCAAAGAATTAAACAAAAATTGGAAACAAACAGTCAAGCTGAGAATGAGCCACTCTTCAGTCATCCAATAATATCAGATAAGTTCTAGAAGTAGTAATTTTTTGTTTTGTGTTCTGCTTCTTTATTCACTCCCTTATTTCAAAGAGAATTTAAGATAGCTGACAAGGATACATAAAATTCAAGATATAAATGAGAAATAGGTGAGTAACAAAGGAACAAGAAGAAAGAAAAGAAGACTAAAATGAACATGTATTCAGTTCTGTACAGTTATGATGCAGGTGGCAGATTTGGCCCTAAGCTTGTGTGTGTGTGTGTGTGTGTGTGTGTGTGTGTGTGTGTTTAGACAGGGTCTTGCTCTGTCATCTAGGCTGGAGTGCAGAGGTGAGACCTTGGCTCACTGCAGCCTCAACCTCCCAGGCTAAAGTGAGCCTCCCACCTCAGCCTCTGGAGTAGCTAGGACTAAAGGCATATACCATCACAAACGGCTAATTTTTAAATATTTTGTAGAGACAGGGTCTTGCTATGTTGCCAGGGTTGGTCTCGAACTCTTGGGTTCAAGTGATCCTCTCCCACCTTACACTCCCAAAGTGTTGGGATTACAGGTGTGAGCCACCACACCAGGCCTCTTTCCTTTTTTTTTGTATGAATTTATGGGGGACAAGTGTAATTTTGTTAAATGCATAGATTGCACAGTGGTGAAGTCAGGGCTTTTAGGTTATCCATTAAATAATTTCTCATCATCCAATCCCCACTCCCTCCCAGCTTTTTAAGGCCAACTTAAAAAGGGAAACCTGAGCAGTTATGAGTCACCATGTGTATATAGTAAAAACAACCCAATTGCTCAGAAGGAACACAGACATGGCTGATGCTAATGAAGATGAAAGTTACAAAGTTCCATAAGAGGACATTGTATCATGAAAACAACAACATACTGATTATATAATAACTGACTTTTCTTAAGAGTGAAAGGGGAACTATTAGACACTATTCTGGGACAACAGGTGTAAACGGGGACTACCTCCCCAAATCAAAATGTATGCCTACTTTGCATATAGTAATCATAACTACATGTTTTATGAAGATGTTTTATTATTGCACCCCATAATACAAGCCAATCATTGAACACAAAATAGTACTTTAGTAAAAGCAGCTCTATTTGAGATTAACATATCCTGATTGGTTATAACTTTCAGCTGATCTAGTCAAACGGTAGGTTTTAGAGCACCCTAGAGCAAACTCTAGGGTTCTTCAGGGTCTAGGGAGTTATAATTGGAGTGTCAACCAGGTGTAGGATAACAGGGGATGGTGAGTGAATATGAACAAAATCCATCTATTGCTGAATTTTGTTTCCGACTGACTAACCGGTGGGTATAATGGCATATCCATAATAGTATGCTTATTTGATGTCTATGCCATCTGCATTAGACATTCAACAGATGTTTTTAAACATCAACTGGGCCTTCCTTTATACAACTAATTCTTGCTTGTGTTTGTCACTATGTGGAAACCATTTAGGGAGGTATCCTATTACATTTTAATAATTTCTGAATTAATTCTTGACTTTTATAATGTAAGTAGTTCATTGTTTTTAACAGTAAACATTACTGACTCAAATTTTCCTCTGTCCCTGGCTTCTGGATAAATCCTTTTTCTTGATCTTTTAGTAGAATGAGCTATTAAAAAAAAGCTCATTCAATCAGAGGCTACATTAGTGAAAGAACAGAATTCCAAACAAGGAAACTAACAGTTGAAGGAAGACAATGGGTCTCACCTTTGGTCAGACGCCATCTGGTGCAGGTCACTGTGGATGTCTGTTACTAAAGTGGGACACTGACGAAGTACTGGGCACCAAATGGCAACACTGCCATTTCTCATAATTTCCATGCCTCTTTTCAAATTCCCATACCTCAATCCCACCACCCCCTTTATTGATGCTGTCAGATGACTTGGCCTCAGAGAACTCATCAGTTACTTCAAATCCCTTCAGATGTATCTGTTTCCACTTTGGCTAGTGGAAGAGGTGTTCCCTCTTCCTTTTCAAGACACATTCCTCCACTGGATGTCACCTCTTCAGCCTTCTCAGGAATCCTGTTTTATTATTTGTTTACACTCTATTCTGTATCTTCTCTCCCTTTTTCTAGGCTCTTACTTGTCAACATAGAAAGGAGGTCAAGTGTCCTTTATCTTTAAATAAACCAGGCCCGCCCTTTACCCTCCAGCTTCTGCACTATCTCTCCTCTCCTCTTCACAGATTCTAAAAAAGGAGCCTCCAGGCATTATCTTCCTCCCTAACCTCCCATCCATGCTGCCATCTCTTGCAATCTAGTTTCTGGTCCCTTTCACTACTCTGAAACAGCTCTAGCCCGGTGACTTCCTAGTTGCTAAATCCCAAGAACAATTTTCTGTTATCCTCTCATAGCATTTGTGACTGTGGACTTCTTTTAAAACATTCTCCTCTCAATCGCTTGAACCCAGGAGGCAGAGGTTGCAGTGAGCCGAGATTGCACTACTGCACTCCAGCCTGGCAACAGAGCGAGACTCTGTCTCAAAAACAAAACAAAACAAACAAACAAAAAAACCCAAAAAACCAAAACACCAAAAACAAACCACTTTCTCCTTTCTTAGTGTCTGGGACAGTACTATTTCTTGATTTTTCCTCTAACATGCCAGGGCATTCTTTCTCAGTTGACATTATGAGCTGTGTTAAAAGACAAAATCAACAAATTTAGCTTAAATACTTTAATTGCCTTTTATTTGCAATTTTATAATTGAGCAACACTGCATTCTATAAAACAAGAATGAGTGTTCCGATGAGCTGAGCAGAGGAATTGGCTTTATAGACAGAAACAGGCTGAAGAAAGCAGAAACAGAGAACAAAAAGCAGATTGGTTGTTTCAAAGTTACTTTTCTTATAGGGTTAAAATAGAGGGAACTTCTTTAGCATGGCAAATCAAGTAAACCAGGCCCGTTTTGATTGGTTGCTATGAATTTCCTGTTTTTTATTTTTACTTTTTATTTATTTATTTATTTTGAAAAACTGGCCTGTTTTAGAGTTCAGTTTGATTATGTGGCACCTAGCATGATTGACTCCATTATAGTTTGGTCTGGTCTACTGGGGCGCAGTGTAGGAGGCTAGTCCAAAACAATGTCTCCTATAAGTTTTATATAACAGTGATTTGATCATCCCTTAATGCAGACCGTCCTCTATACACGATAAGCATGATGGCTTCAACTAAAACCTGTCAACAAATCCCAAATCTGCAGCTTTGGGCCAGTTCTAGGCTCCTGATCTGAATATTAAAGTGCCTAGCCTTCCTGAAGCTCAACATGTCTATAACTGAACTTACTGGCACCCTCTCCTCCATGCATTTTCCCTATGAACTAATGTCATCACCTTTATTCACTTATTCAAGACAGTCATTTGAGAATTAACTTTGATACTTCCTCTTCCTTTCCTCCTACATCTACATCTAATTGGTCATTAAGTCTTAATTCTCTCTTGAATCAGTCTCCTGCTCTCCTACATCACTGCCCTAATTTAGGACAGTTGTCAGTAGGAACATAGTAATAACATTCTAACTGGTTTTCCCACCTTTCTCCTGCCTTCTTTGTCTACACCACTGCCAGAGAGACTTTCCAAAGTTGAAAGTTTAATTGTGCAGAATCTTTTCGATCATTCCCCATTACCTTCATGACACATTCTTAGTTACTTAGGATGGCATCCAAGGCCATTTGTATTCTAGCTTTGCTGAAAGTAGTCAATCTAAACTACTGAAGTCCCCTGATTAACACCATGCTCTCTAACCTCTTTCCCTAAGTTGCCTGTGTCTTTCCCACCCCCACTATTTAGTCCAAATCAACACTGAGTTCAGAGCTCACCTCCTGTAGAGTGTTTCCTTAGCCTCCCCAGCTACGATTAGGTGCCCCTCTGGTATATTTTCACAGCACCCTGTGTTTACTTCTGTTAGGGCACTCAAATCAACCCTGAAACTGCTAATTTACATATCTGGACCCCAGTTTTAAACCATATGAATAATAATACTTAGCGTTCGTTGAAAGCTGTGTACTAGGCTTTGTATTAAGTACACTGCATGCATTATTTAATCCTCATGACAAACCTTAGAAAGTAGGAACTAATACTACCCTCAACTTGCAGGTGAAGAAACTGAGCATAGAGTGGTTAAGAAACTTCCGCATGTTGCAGAATTATATCTTAATGTTTTTGGAAGGCAAGGATCATGTACTATACGTGTATGAGGAGAATGTGGCAAAGTCTGGCACGTGGTAGTGCTTCAATAAAGGTTTACGGGTCAAATAAACAAATGAAGAGCTCAGAGGACAAACCTGTGACAAACGAACAGAAATTAAAAAGCAGCAGATTTTAGTTTAACATAACAAAAAACTTGGCCGGGTGTGGTGGTTCATGCTTGTAATCCCAGCATTTTGAGAGGCTGAGGCGGGAGGATTGCTTGAGCCCAGGAGTTCAAGACAAGCCTGGGCAACATAAAGAGACCCTGTAGCTACAAAATGTTTTTAAAAATTTAGCTGGATATGGTGGCACATGCCTGTAGACCCAACTACTCAGGAGGCTGAGGTGGGAAGATTGCCTGGGCCCAGGCAGTTGAGGCTGCAGTGAGCCAAGATTGTACCACTGCACTCCGGTATGGGCAACAGAGCAAGACCGTGTCTTGAAAAAATTTTAAATTAAAGGAGAAAGAACTTTATATTAGTTAGACCACCCAGTGGAATGGATTTCTCAAAAAACAGGTACATATAGCACTTATCATACTGAAGAGTATTTATACATTTGCATTTCCCCCCTTGTGAGTAGGGAGTATTTCAGCTTTTATTTTTATTTTTATAATAATTTTATTTTATTGCTTTTATTGCTCAGGATCTAGCCAAGGGCTAGAGATGCTCAGCAGTGTTTGTTGAACTGAACTGGTCTGAATTTAAAACCCCTACAAACTAAAAGTGGGCATTTTTAGTAGAAGTTTAACTCTCATTGTTCTTTATTTCTTCCCACTATTCTGCATTTCTTTCAAAAGAACTTTGAGAATAAAGAGAGGACAGGAAAAAAGTTTAGAGACTTCATTTGCTGCTAGCAAAATTTCCATTAGAAAGTCAGTAAGGGCAGGGAATGTGTCTTTTTATCACTGTGTCCTTAGCCTAGCACATAGTAGCCAATCAATAAATACTTGTTGGATGAAACACACACACATACAGACAGACACACCCCAACAGTGTGCTCTTTACTCCCAGATGGGACCCATGGAAATATATCCCATAGAAGGAATGTCTACATAAGGTGAGAGATTGGACTAGATCAGTTTTATCACACTGGAAAACTAGTTAAATTATTCACATTGGATCCCAAAGTGAAAGAAAAGAGAAGGAAAGAGAAGAAAAGCACTAAATCTCAATTGTCATTCCCAAAGCTGAGGCAAGACTTAAGTAGTAGAAATCTTCCTCAAATACCCATAGCAGGTAGTAAAAAAACAGCAGGCTGCATGACCTCTGCAGTCCCTGACAAATTTAAGATTATTTCATTCTCATTTATGGATCCTAAATATCCAACTGAGAGGCTGTATTTCAAGACACTGATTGCTAGGTCTAGAATTCTTTAAAAATTATTCTCAGCAATAAGGATATAGCTATACAAAGAGAGACAGAAGCCTGGGCAACATAATAAGACCCTGTCTCTAAAAAATGTAAAAAAATTATCCAGACGTGGTGGTGCATGCCTGTGGTCACAGCTACTCTGGAGACTGAGGTGGGAGGATTGCTTGAGCCTGGAAGGTCAAGATCATAACACTGTATTCCAGTCCGGGTGACAGAATGAGATCCTGTCTCAAAAATAATAATAAAATAAAATAAAAATAGAAAGAGAGAAATTATTAACCAAATGGAGTTTATATCATTCTAATGGACTATGGGTTGGGAGACAAATGATAAACAAGCTATTTTAGATAAGAGTGTCCAGAGAAGGTACCAAGAGACCAGGAAGTGGCAAAATTAAAGAAACATCATGACAGTGGTTACATCTTAAAATGCTAGGCTCTGCAGTCATTGGTACTAGTTAATGGGGCCTTAGAGTAATTTTTGACACTAACTTGTTAACACTTCGAAGATCTATTCTTTTCTGAGTGTCCTACTATCTAAATTCCCCATATATGTTGTTTCTAACTGCTCCCGCTTCTTCACTGGTTTCCAGCTTTCCTCTCCTCTGGGCATATACAAATGACTAAAATTTTCCCTTTTCAAAAATCATCAACAAATCTGTTAAGAAGCATATGTCAGTTTTCTGTCATCTATCTAATTTTTATTCCTGTTTTATCTCTCTCAAGTCTACTGCTAAACTATTCTAACCATTCATTAGAGTCTCTCTTCTTCATTCCTTCAGTAAACCAGAATAATCTCTTTTTATATTTACCAAGCACCCTTCCTCTCCTCATTTAAAAATCCTGATTTTCTCTTTCCTCTATGAAATTTTTCCTAACTTAGTAGAAATAAGGTTAAGCATTAACATATTAGCAAATATACAATTACAGCCAGGATTTGAAAGTTATGTCATAAAACAGTAAAATATGGAGAAAATGATTACAACTAGATTTTACATGTTTTATATTCAAATTGGTTTATCAATGTTTATATTTCTCTTTAGCTTGAGTACGAGACCTCAAGACACAGACTATTTTTTTGAGCTATATTTCATGATTTCTAGCACCGGCCCTAATTAACATTAGATGTCTTGATAGGCTTCAGATCCAAATGATGGAGATAATTGTCTGCCATTGTGGAGTCAATATATAAGAATCACAAATACCTCCACGCGGTATTATTTCCTCGCAAAGAACCCTAAAGACCAATATTTGCTTTTAAAAATGTAGCTCTTAAATAAAGGCTTGGTGGATACTCTGGGCACACTGCCTGTGTAGTAGCCCTGCTCTGTAAGGAGCAGTTAAAAAAATTAATTAAAAAAAAAAAGGCTATCACTCACAGCAAAAAAATATTTTTAGAAGTCCAATGAGGCTGAATGTTCTTTATGACCACCATATGTATATCTTCCAACCTAGACCATTTCCCTCTGGGATACACTTTCAGTAGTTATCACTTCAAATTTAAGGAATACTTTGTACCTAGGGTTCTCAATTAATCATATTCAGTAGGATATTTTTTCCCAATTTTAAAGATAAATAATATTAGAAATATGAAATCACTCATTCAATATTTCAAAGTAAAGTAGTATTGGAGCTAGTAAGATCCAGAACTCTTATTTTTGTTTTGGACAACTCTTGTATATTTAAATATTTACTATTCTTAAATATTAACTATTACTGTTGTATATTTAAATATTTATATAGTATAAATTATATACAAAAGAAAGCATTTAAGCTCTAGGGTTTGATCATATTGAAATAAATATAAATCTGCTTACTTTATGCAAGGAGCATATGAGAAATATCCAAATGTTTTATAACATTTTCCTTTAACTGTAATAAATGACTATGCTGGAAAAAACAATTATTTTATAGTGCAGGGTCTCAGGGAACATTAATCTTATTTCAAGTAAAAGCATTTTATCTTTTTATAGCTGATTTAATAATCTGTGAGTGACTAGATGAAATACCATACACAAATGTGCCTGGCACAGGGTAGGTACTCTGTGCACGTGATCAGATCTAAATGTAGAATCTATTCTTTATGGATAAGTCACATGATCCAGGATTTCTTCTGCTCAGACACCCAGATGCCATGATAGAATCCAGAGGTGATTACAGCTAGATACCAAATCAATAAACATTCAAATGTTTTCAATGTTTTTCACTACCATGTGTGTCTGAGCCAACTTTAAAACAAATAGATACTTTTTCTTATACAGTCATGCATCACTTAATGATGACCATACATTTTGAGAAATGCATCATTAGGCAATTTTGTCATTATGGAAACACAGAGTGTACTTACACAAACCTAGATGGTATAGCCTACTACCCACCAAGACTATATCGTAGAGCCTATTGCTCTGAGGCTACAACCTGTACAGCATGTTACTGTACTGAATACTGTAGGCAATTGTACCACCATGGTAAGTATTTGCACATCTAAACATAGCTAAACATAGAAAAGGTACAGTAAAAATATAATAGTATAATTTCTTGGGACTCTGCCATAAATATGGTCCATAATTGACTGAAATGTCATTGTGGGACACATGACTGTATATATTTATCATAAATGATAGTAGTTCGCAGTTAGTTTCTGTAACACCTACATTCTATCTGGTTCAAGTTCATTAAAAAAAATACAGTCATGCTTCACTTAATAACGTTTGGCTTACATAAATTCAAAGATGGCTGGCATCTTAGATTTATTTATTTATTTATTTATTTAAAGACAGGGTCTCACTCTGTTACCCAGGGTGGAGTTCAGTGGCATGATCATGGCTCACTGCAGCCTTGACCTCTTGGGCTCGAGTGATCCCCACTTCTCAGTCTCCTGAGTAGCTGGGATTACAGGCACACACCACCACACCTGGATGTTTTTATTTTTTGCAGAGACAGGGTTCTACTATGTTGCCCAGGCTGCTCTCGAACTCCAGGGCTCAAGTGATTCTACTGCCTTGGCCTCCAAGGTGCTAGAATTACAGGTGTGAGCCACCATGCCTAGCCTATAATGCTTTAATACTCCAGTTAGGGTCAATCCAAGTGGAGTTTTGTCAGAATATTTTTTACCTAAATAAACATGGACTTTAATAGATGACAGCAAATAGTGTTTTCATTTGTTTGAGATGGGCCTGCTGTGCTGCCCAGGCTGGAGTAGAGCAGCATGATCATCGCTCAGTGCAGCCTTGACCTCCCAGGCTCAAGTGATCCTCCCGCCTCAACCTCCCAAGTAGCTGGGACTACAGGTGGGTGCCACCACACCTGGCTAATTAAAAAACTTTTTTGTAGACACAAGGTCTCACTATGTTGCCCAGGCTGGTCTTGAACTCCTGGGCTCAAGTGATCCTCCTGCCTCAGCCTCCCAAAGTGCTGGGATTATAGCCATAAGCCACCATCTTACTTTAATAGTTAAGTTTTTTTAATTACCAAGTAAAGTATGCAACAGAAACTCATCCTCACTTCTCAAAATTGTGTTTCACTTCTTTTTTTAAAGAGATGGAGTCTCGCTATGTTGCCCACGCTGGCCTTGAACTCCTGGGCTCAAGGTATCCTCCCGTCTCAGTCTACGGAGTAGGTAGGACTACAGGACTACAGGCATGTGCCATGTGTTTCATCTTTTAAATTCAGGGATGCAGGGAAGCATGTGATCATCAGGGATAAGGAATATAAGAAGGGTCAGAGTTTATTTTTTATTTATTTATTTATTTTTTTTAGTGTGTGTTTTAAGCAGCCAGGTTTTTTTGGGCGGGGGGGTGGGAGGGGTTTTTTTTTTTTTTTTGAGCCAGGGTCTTGCTCTGTCACCTGGATGGAGTGCAGTGGTGCAATCATGGCTCACTGCAGCCTCGACCTCTCAGGCTCAAGTGACCCTCTTGCCTTGGCCTCTGAAGTAGTTAGGACCACAAGTGCATGCCCAGCTAATTTTTAATTTTTTTTTGGAGATAGGGTCTCGCTGTGTTGTCCGGTCTGGTCTGAACTGCTGGTCTCCAGCAATCCTCCCGCCTTGGACTCCCAAATTGCTGGAATTATAGGCATTTTGGGCATGGCCTAAGCAGTCATTTCAAAGAGGCCCCCCATGGCAAAACATTTACTGAAATATGTCCTGTTGTAACGAAGAATGACCCACACATAGAGTATGTTATGAGTCTTGGAAATCGATCAAGTTCTCTCAATTGTACTGCAATATTCCTTATATCTACTCTGTTTTCTCATTCTGTTAATGAACCCCTTGCTTCCAGTTTCCTGTTTTGTCATGATAGTGGTTTACTACATTCCTTACAAGTCACCTCCTGTTCTCAATCTCTGTCAAGACAACTGTTTTCACCAGTTGTGAATAAGCAATAATTCTAAAAGTTAAACATATGTTTAAACAGTCAAATCTGTATCTATCTGCAATTATCTATAATAGTGTAATTCCCCTTCATGTATTTTCATATGCTTGAATGGGATGGAATTCACTGCAGGAAAGCCTAGGGCCCAGGAATTGTACATAACCCTGCACATGTGTATGTCTATCATTTGTGTAGCACAAGAAAAATGACTGAGAATAATATAATCTTTGGGAAAAAAGTCCAAATCCCAGATTGGCCTCAATACAGCTTTCTGGCTTCTTTTTCGCCCTCACTCCCACAAAATGGGCTCATTCAGTGGGCCATTCACCATTCCCAAAGCATGCCATACACTTTTGTGCCTCTGGGTCTTTGAATATCCTAGCCCTCCCTTCCCCATTAATCAGAACAATGAACATTCTTACTTTAAGACACACTATTCTTATAAAGCTTCCAGACTTCTCCAGGCAGAGCCAATACCTGCATCATACTCCTTGATCATACTATAGTAGAATTACTCCTATGTCCACTCCTCCTTCCCACCACTCATGAACTCCAAAACTTAAGGCACTGTGCCTTCTTCAAACAGCTTCTTATCTTAGCACATTGCTTGGCTAACATTGTCACATCCATGGGTAGTTTGAATGGAGATAGAAAAAAAGTAACAGCAACAAAACATCTGGTTCTAAGGGATATTAAAGAACTCTCCAGTTGTTTATAAGACTTGCTCATTTAAGCTACTGCATGAACCTCTAATTTAAAAGAGCATCAAGGCAGGAAGTCTTGAAATTTCCATTAGTAACACTTTTCTGTATCAAATAGTCCTTGTTAAAAGTTTTCTTTTACAAAGAAATTCTCATAAAATTCTGCAAAAAGGATGCTCAAATTGCCAAAATATGAGTTTCACAATACCTATTAAGGGTCCTCTAAAAAGCATTATAATCTAATTAAGAACACGTTTTACCAGACATTCCCAATGTGTCTATCTTAAACTGATTTAATGATTAGATAGCAGTATTCTTGCTGGTTTTCTTTTCCTCTAAACTCAAATAATTCCTTCATATATTTTCTATTTCCTATTTGCTTCTGACGCTTTATTATAGATTATGGTCTTCAGTATGGATTAGATCCCCAACTGCAATATACAAAACTCTTTGATTATCTTAAACGCCCCTAAATCTCTAAGGAATCTGCAAATTTCTCTTTCTACTAATAAGAAAGATGGCAAAATTCTCTACATTCCCCATAAATAGGTATCATACTTGATAACTGAGACTTCTCCAAATGTCCTTGCTTCATGGATCTGAAGACCTATTACTACTTGCACAGCAGTGGAGTTCCTTCATTTTGTAAATGTGTACTTAAATGCTCTTTAGCACATCCAGTAAATTCTGAAGAACTACAAGAAGTCTCTGGCAGATGAGGCAGGAAACCTATGGGAAAGCATTTGGAGAAGCTCTATAACATGAAGTAACAGGAAAGAGTCGGGGAGATGCTGCAAATTCTGGGAAACTATATGAACTCTAGAAAGCAGTGGGAACATAAGTAGATAAATTATCTTTTTGGGAGGTAGGAGTTGAGAGTGAAGTAGAAGACTATGAAAAAAGTTTCAGATTCCCAGAGGGGTAAATGTTGAAGTGAAATGAAATGAATCAGAATACCCTGATTTCTCTACCTCACAGTTTTGAAATGCTTCATGGTCTATGAACAGATCTTTTATAAGGTTAGGTCTACAACTTTTCAACAGATAAAAATAGCTGATCACCATCTTAAAATATGAACCTGTAAAATAGTGTCCATTTTAAAATGTTCTATTTCTTCCAAGTATAGAGAAGAAAAACAAATATGCATGAAAATACACAAGTTATTTCATAATAACTAACTTTATCAAATCAGGAGCTTATTAGGTTTGCATTACAAATTGACTCTCAACAGTTATATTAAATTTATATTAATATATTCAATAATATATATTGAGCATTATATTGGTTATATGCAAGATGGGATTACAAAGAATGAGTACAGACCCTTGTCCTCAAGGAGCTCACACTCTAGTAAAGGATTGGGCACTTCTGGTTTTAGACACTTGAGTTCAATTTTTAACAATATTTAGACCAGCATTTTCCAGTATTTTCCTTGGAACACCAATCCTAGTAAAAAGGTAGGTTGATTTAGAAAATAGAATATACCCAGAGGATAACATAGGAGGACATTAAAGGCACTGAGAAGTCTTGTAGTAAAGAACTCTAACTTTGCTTAACTTGGCATTTCTCAAAGTTATGTAACTGCATATATATGTATATATATGTGTATATATGTATACATATGTGTATATATGTATACATATATACGCATATGTGTATACATATATGTGTATATACATATATATGCATATGTGTGTATATGTGTATATACATATATATGCATCTATGTGTATATATACATAGTGTATATATGTATACACATGTGTGCATATATGTGTATATATACATAGATGTGTACACACATACATGTATACACACATATGTGTGCATATGCATGTATATATGTGTATACATGTATACACACATATATATGTGTATATAATATATGTGTGTATACATATATTTAACTCAACACCTATAAACAGATCATGGCACATTTTGGGAAATACTGGTTTGGACACACAATTTCAAAGATGCGTTTTTAAGTGTTTCCAAAGGCACTGAAAACACAAACTTTTAACACCTTTCACATTTTTGGAATACAAAAGAACAAGTTAGTACATTTATTGGGAAAGTATTCTGAAATAATTTGAGGCATGGGATTAAGGGATACAGAGGGAATAACAAATAGAATAGCTTCTAAAACCACAACTATCTATAACTGTAAGTTATGCTTGATAAAGACTAAAAATAGCCCTGAAATTTTTGAAACAGATGACTGACATATATAATTTTATTAAAATCTGTCTTATCTGAATATAGACTGTTGAGATTGTTTCAAAAAAAATCTTAATCTGAGATAAATTTTACTTCTATTCTTAATTACATGTAGAGGCAAGACATTATATGCTCCATATTCCATTTGTTAGCATTATCTTTCTGTCCTTTTTCTCTTTATTTTCTGATACAGGGCCTTGCTGTGTCATCCAAGCTGGAGTGCAGTGGTGCCATCACAGCTCACTGTAGCCCTGAACTCCTGGGCTCAAGCAATCCTCCCGCCTCAGTCTACTGAGTAGCTGGGACTACAGCTGCGAGCCACCAGGAATGGCTGATCTTTCCGTAGAGATCGGGATCTTGCTTCGTCACTCAGGCTGGTCTTGAACTCCTGGCCTCAAGCAATCCTCCTACCTCAGCCTCCCCAAGTTTGGGATTACAGGGATGAGCCAGTATGCCTGGCCCTTTCTGTCCTTTTCTGAATTTTAAGTTTGTACCTACTCTTCTCTCTTGATGCTAGCTAATGGAAATCTGATATTTAGACACTTCTAATTGCTGTTTTCTTAAAATAAAAAAAAAAAACCAGCAATATCAAAAGGGGAAAATGTCCCCTCTTCCCTAAAGCTGCAGAAAAGCAAATAGAATTCTATTCTATATCATAAAACTGGGTTTAAAAATATTATTTCAAGTAAAATAGTCTTCCTGGACGCCTGGATTTCAGTGTTGCTATATTCTGTGAAAAATAACGTAAGTTTAAAGTCTATAATTCTGATTAGTTGTCTGAATAATTTGTTGTCTTGTTAATAATATTTAAAATAACATTCTGATTCCTGAAAGTTGCCTTTGCAAATTTATTTGTTAAACTGAGAAAAAAAGATTCATGGCACAACCCCTTTCTTGCAAATATATGGTCACACACGTATTTTGTTATGTATTATTTATTATTGAAAGAGTTTCGTTAAATCTCATTTAAATTAGTAATTGGTGCTATGACCAAAACAAAACACTGTATAATATTGAAGAGGGAACTGGCAGCTTGGAGAAAAAAACCAAATTGGCTTCTAGACATGCAGTCTGTTCTTAAGACAAAGTAGTAAAAAATTTTGCTTTCTCCATATTCTTCCTAGGTGGCAGAAAGTGCTGTCCTCACCTGAGATGATACTTTAACTTCTGAAAAGTCATAAATGACTGATGCTCCTCAAGCTTTTGGGTAGTTCTTGATTGTAGACAATTGTAAAAACAATAAACATTCCTCGCTTCTGGAGGAGCTAAAATATCTAGTCCTTAGTCTCCTCTGCTGTGGATATTACAAAATACTGTTATCGTTACTAAACTAAGGCTGTGGTGATTTCTTCATGTTTTTATTTTTAATTTTATTCTTAGTAGAGATAAGGTCTTGCTATGTTGCTCAGGCTGGTCTCAAACTCCTGGGTTCAAGGGATCTTCCCACCTGAGCCTACCAAAGTGCTAGGATTATACAGACGTAGGCATGAGCCACTGTGCCTGGCCCATGTGGTGACTTCTTCACAGGCATTGTTGCTCTTATATTTATTAACTGATTTCCTCTGCTAACTCATTCACTTGTTACTATTAAGATCAGGTCACAAACTAAACAAATAGAGAATTAACATAATAAATAAAATCATCCCTCCGGGGAGCTCTCTGTAAATATTCAGGTTAATATCATATATGTGTTGTTCATAAGTTTTAGTGATTATGTATACTTTTGTAGGATGGGTAGAAAACATACTTAACATATTTGAAAGCTGAAACAATGAGTATTGGCAAAAGTCTTTATTGTTAGATTTGGAATAGCATTTTGCCTATTTATAATAACCAGGGAATACACTTTATAACACAGATTGTAAAAGTAGTTTATAACTCCTTGAGATTTTGTAAAGCATTTGATACCTCTCCATCTAGAATCAATAGGCAAAGTATAACACCAAGATGGGATTCTAAAGACACTGAAGTGGCCAGGTACACTGTTCATTTTTCTTAAGAAATCTTCAGCAGCAAGGATTGGATTTTGCAGGTTCATGAGTGGAAGACAGAGCCTGAAACTCACCTGCGGGGGCCCTTTTCAAGTCTTCCTGAGTACTTGTCAGGTACAAAGGTCCTCTGTCTTGAATCTATGCTTTAAGATGTTCATCTTGTCTATCAAACAATTTCTTATTACTAATCTTTGGTTTCTCGCAGTGTCTAGAAGAAAGGTTCCTGGACACTTCCTACTTGAGTCACCAGACTAGTAGTACAGCTTACAAATAGCTTCTGGTAGTGCTGAGACTATCTAGACAGCAGGTCGACCTCCTGTCCTAACCCTGGCTTGTAAGGAAAATTCAACCCCGTGTTTTAGACATGTCCAAAAAACTTTCCAGATATGCTCCAAATGAGTCCATCATGAAGCAACTAAAATTTTCAGAAGATAGCATTTAACTTGCCCATCTGTTAGTAAGGTCTTGCCTCTGACCTCATTCGATGGTTCCTAACTAGTAATTTGTCTCCCTTAAATACAGTCTAACTTTTACTTTCATGCATTGAGGATTGGCCTTGGCCACTTCTGAACTGGGTCCAAAGACTACATTAGTTTAAGGCAGATCTACTGATCTGAAAATCTTTCTGGAGGGAATCTATTTAGTCACTTTCTTTCTGGAAAATAAATCCTTACCTGAGACCTGTCACTCAAAACAAGAGAAAGCAGGACTGCTAATTTCTTTCATAAAAAAAAAAGACTGGCAAATGAGCACCACTAGAATGACAGGTGCATGACATTAAGCAAGCACTGTGAGGATTGCTTCTTGTTACCTTAGTTTGGGCTGTTATAACAAAATACCAAAGACTGGGTAGCTTATAAACTTAATAAATTTATATCTCTCAGTTCTGGAGTCTGGGAAGTCGAAGATTAAGGCGTTGGCAGATTTGGTGTCTGGTGAGGTCCTGCTTCCTATATGATGGTCTTTTTGCTGTAACCTCACAAGGCAGAAGGGGCAAACCAGTTCTCTGGGGTCTCTTTTATAAGGGTACTAATTCATTAGGGTTCTGCCCTCATGATCTAATCACCTTTTAGAGGTTCCATTTCCTAATGCCTTGATAGTTAGGATTTCAACATTCAGACCACAGCACTACCCTACCCTTCCTGAACTTTCTGGCTTTGTTATTGAGTCTGAATTATAACCTGAGAAGTGTCTACCATCAAAGGCTAACTAAAACTAACTTTACTAAAAATAATGGACTATACCTAGTTATTACTCTTACGTTCTTGGCTATGGAAACTCAAAAGTTACAATAACAATACATTCCATAAATGCTGGATCTGTTGTCAATTACAAGACACTAAAGGAGAAACTCCTACCATACCAGTGCCTCTACCCGAATAACATGCACAATGTTTGGACAGCTGGAGGTAAAAGCCTTTAATGTTCAGAGTATGGCACTCGTTTGTCACAATAAAATTTTTGGGAAATTACGGAGGTAACTGGTTTACATTTAGCAAGTGATATCCCTGAATTCTTGTACTGTGTTCATGGAAACTCAGCTGCTTATCCTAGGCTGGACTAAAATGCTACCTGGCACTTTGATTCTGGGTGAAACCTCCAGCTTTAACTTGTGACTTTAAGAAACAAAATATGGACCAAGTGCCCTGGCTCATGCTTGTAATCCCAGCATTTTGGGAGGCCAAGGTGAGAGGACTGGTTGAGCTCAGGAGTTCAAGACCAGCCTAGGCAACACAGCAAGACGGTGTCTCCACAAAAATAAAAATAAAAAAATTAACTGGGTGTGGGGCTGCATGCCTGTAGTCTCAGCTACTCAGAAGGCTGAGGCAGGAGGATCGCTTGAGCCTGGGAAGGTCAAGGCTGCAGTGAGCCATGATTGAGCCACTGGACTCCAGCCTGGGTGACAGAGCCAGAACCCCTCCCTTTAAAAAAAAAAAAAAGAAAGTATGTTTAAGACACCTATATCATTTGCTGAGCTCACGTTCAGTCATATATATCTGGCCTGGCTTTTTTTTTTTTTTATCTTCCTATACTTCCTGGGGGGAAACAGTCATAACAATCTGATTAAGTGAGGTTATGCACAATATAGAAAGACCAAAAACTATTGAAATAAGGTAACAATGGGACAACTTCTCTAAATCTGCTTACTACTGAAAGGATGGCCATGACACTAAGGTCCTACAGAATCACATAGCTTAGCCAGCAAAGGAAGGGTATGTGCTCTTATCAGCAAGGAATGATACCCCTATATTCCTGGCAATTCATATCAAAAATAATTTGCCAAGCTACACCAGACAGAGCTAGGACCTTTTTTTTTTTTTTTTTTTTTTTACATAGGTGGGTAGCCTTCTATAGGCCCTTTAGCAGTTATAAATTGTACAAGGTATTATTGTGAGGCTAAAAAAAGTTACTGTATTATGTATGTAGCAGTAATATTTATAAAATGTTACCTAAGTTGTAGCCTTAAAAGACTCATTTCAAGTGTCTTACTTGGTTATTAAGTATCGCACACTGGCAAATAATATGTAAGAATAAGTGACAAGAAAGTTCATGCAGATTCTTTATTTAAATCCAATTTTAGTTTTTTAAAAATAGAGAGAAGGTCTTGCTATGTTGCTCAGGCTGGTCTCGAACTCCTGGTCTCAAGGGACGCTCCTGCCTCGGCCTCTCAAAGTGCTGAGATTATAGGCATGAGTGGCCCCACCCTACCTCATGCAGATTCTAATTTAAGATAAAATATCACCTGAGAAGTCCCAGACCCTATATTTGAACTCAGTTTTCCGATTACCCTAAAGAAGGGCCTTTTAGCCTACTCTAATTCTATTTTTATTTTGCTGATTTTCCATCACTTTTACTAATCAATGATTTCTGTTGAAACTTTTATATACTACTCCTTAAATTAGAAACAATTCAGATAAATGTATGGTTTTATGCATATTTGCTTAGCAACTAACTTGATTCTGAAAATTGGATTTTTTTAGCAAGACAGAAAGAATGTTTAGTAGAAAAAGCACTGATTTGGGAGCCAGGAGGCTTAAAGTCTTTATTACACTTTAAGAATGAGCTAAATGTATAACTTAAATCAAGTGCATTGGCTTAATTATTGGAACCTGAGTAAAGCATATGTTTTCTCTCAAATACGCCCTTTCCCTTCAGTTCAGTAGGGAGTGGGCTAAAAAGGAAAATCTGAATGCTAACATATATGTAAAACATGATGGGAAACTACCCTCTCCCACCAAAACAATGCATGGAGTCGTGGGTTTTAAATAACAGTAATTATTCATATGAGACTCTACACCAAAAAGGGCACAGAAGTAATTCATGTATTACTAATACCCATTGAACAACTGGAATATGCACAGATTAGGGCAAAACTAGCATTTTTTTTTTTAAAGGTTATGCTACACTGCAGTCTGAAGTAGTATCCTTAAAGTTCAAATTACACATTGGGCCCACAGATAATACACAAAAACTGATTTGGGATAAATTAGCACAATGTATGATCTCTACAAAAGCAAGTTCTGGGCCAACACCTACATACACTCGCTAGAAACTGCAGCAAATACAGGCAGAGCAAGTAAGCACAAAGGAGAACAGGAAGATGGCAGTGTAACCTGGCTACACCATTGCAAACATTCTGATGAATGCCATCCATGAACACAAGCACACACTACTACTCACAAAACGGTAATACATTCATATACATCCCCAGGCATTCCCAATTAGTGAATAATTATATTTGAAGCCTACTTTAAATTAATATGGGCTGACCATGGTGACTCACGCCTGTAATCCCAGCACTTTAGAAGGCCAAGATGGGCCAATGGCTTGGGCATGCAGATTGCTTGAGCTCAGGAGTTTAAGACCAGCCTGGGCAGCATAGCAAGACCCCTGTCTCTATAAAAAAATACAAAAATTAGCCAGGTGTGGTATGGTGCGTGCACCTGTAGTCCTAGCTATTCAGGAGGTGGAGGTGCGAGTGTTGCTTGAGCCTAGGGTGCAGAGGTTGCGAGCCGAGACTGCGCTACTGCACCCCAGCCTGGGCAACAGAGTGAGACTCCGCCTCAAAAATAAATAAATAAATACATCAACTAATGTAATCCCCCATCCATCCATTTTCAATACATGGCAAACCAAAAAAACAGTTACATGCATTTAATCTAAAATTTTCTGTAAGAATATATTGTATGTAGTTCTTTAGAAATAGATTTTTGCTTATTTGCCATAATTTTTTTAATTTGATGAACTGAAGTGGTATTCCTTAACTACAATTTCAAAATGTTTTTCCCTACAGGCCAACAACCCACAAAATAAAATGCTGCACCTGAAGCAATCCTCCAAACTTACTATCTGTCATTAGCAAATAGAGCTTTAACCTTTTGGGCATCACAGGGTCTTTAAGATGCCCGTGCCTGCTGAGAACTTCTCCCTAGAAAAATGCAGTAAACACATTCCGTTTCATAGGGCTCCTGGACTTGTTGAACACTATACATAGGCCACAAGTAGAATATATTGTCCAGCTGGGAATATACTATTATTTCAAAAGTCTCTTAGGAATTGGCAGCAAGAAGTGTATGTGCAATGGGTACAAATCCACCCAGGGTTTTGTAGTTGTGATATTACTACTATTTTTGGTGGCCTCAACTTTAATGGAGCAGAAAAACAACTGAGGTTAGCAAATAGCAGCGTAAAGGATGGATTCAGCTCACTGGGAAGAAAAAAAATTCCTGCATACCCTAAAGAAACAGAAGCTTCTTTTCAGTTTCCAGAGAACCAGAAGGACCATCATTTATTTAACTTCTGATTAACTTTGAGTATGATAAGTAGGAAATATCTTTAAATGGGGTTAAAATTAATAGACATTAGAAACAGAAACTACACTCTTATTTAAGCTATCAGTAATCATTAATGGCTAAATGTTATGAGTATTGTTAATAAGAGGGAAATTCAGTTATAAAAATATAGCACAATACTCTAAAAATTTCATCTTTGTTTAAAATACTTGGAGGCAGTGTAGTTAAATGCAAAATATTATGTCAGTTATTTTGTACACCTGAAGGACTGTTTATAAATGTTTCTCATACATTATCATGCAAAGATTATTCTAGAATACTTGAGTTCTACATACTACAAATCATGTTAAAGAATCATAGCACCTTTAAAAAATTGTTTACACTGAACTGTTGGATAGAATTTCCCTTAATGTATAGCAATAAGCTTCAACAATTTACAGTGGCTCAGGTTGAATATCTATTTCGATGCTATATATGAAGAGTTTGATATGTTTTCAGAGAAAAGCAAAAGCTAAATAACTTATTATTAAGTCAACACTACTGACTCATGTAGTTATTAAGGAAACTATATATACTTTAATGAAACCTAATTATTACACAATTTTACATTTCAGCTTAATTCCTATTTTATTGTTTTGCCAACAAGACTGCCAACTCCTTAAGCATTACAGCTAGTCAAGAATTAAATCTGCATTAAATACAGAATTAATTTGTCTTTGGGGTTTAATTTTTTTTAATTAATAGCAAAGTGCCATGTCAAGAAGAGTCAATGTACCAAAAAATTAAAACAGAAAATCAAAATTCATTAAAACAATTTGTTTGCTCAGTAGTATATTTTTTTTACATTCACTGAACATTCCCTTGCCTTTCCCATAATTAAAAAGTTAATTATTGGAATCATATTTTTTGTAGATCCCAGTTTTCAAACAATGTGATTTAAATGCTTGTTATTAACATTACAACACTTTGAGTAACACTGATCCTAACACTAAAGTGATGCTGTTTTGTACATAATTAAATTTGTTACCATTCTAAACAGAATTTTAAATTTAACTCTGTGGTAAAGACCCTGCTTAAGTATTAAAAGTTAGGAACCCTCCAGTCTGAATATTTTTATAACTTTTTTTGTTTTAAGAGACAGAGCCTCGAACTCCTCGGCTCAAGGGGTCCTCCTGCCTCAGCCTCCTGAGTAGCTGGGACTACAGGTGTGTACCACTGTGCCCAGCTTCATTATAACCTTTTAAAGGTAGCAGTTAAGTTTCTTGAGGGTCAAGTCATTCTCCCTCCCCCCATCTCTTGTCCAAATATTCAAGAAATATTTACTCAGTGATTTAGTAATCTACATTTAGTAAACTTACATTTAGTAAGTTACAAATATATTTATTACTAAATATAGATTACCATTAATAAATAGTTCCTTGGTTTAGTATGTTCTCTTAAAGTTTTCAGAAGCTATTAAATACTATAAACAAAGTATTAAAATACTATAAACTGTGTATAATGAGCACAGTTTTTAGACAACTTTTCAGTGATCAAAACAGATGAAATGAATAAGAATGGACAAATGTAGCAAATTAAACCCATAACAGTTTTAAAAATTCTGGATTAAACAACCCAAACAACTAATGAAATCAACTCCCCGTCAAAAGCACATCTGGGAATGCTTCTCCAAAAAATATTATTGTAATTGACTAAAATTTAATTTTTTAGTTGTCTTATTAAAAAGTCTTTAATTGAAAATTATCACTTAAAAATCAAACTGGATTTAATGTACAAAGCATAATCTCCAATATCTACTGAAAATAAATTTTTAAAAAAATCCCACATTTCTGATTTCTCTTTAAGAGAAAAAAAAATTAAAAAATTCCCCAAAGCTTATCAGATTTTTTGGGCCAAATCATCCAGAAATCTATCTATAAAAGATTCAGAGTATATTCAGGGCATTAAAATTACCCTACTCTGAAGTAGAATAAACTATTTCCTTATCTTTTAAAAGCTTAGTTATCAACACTGCTTAGAATTACCATCAGAGTGTCTGTATTAAGATTACCCTAATCTGCAGTAGAATAAACTATTTCCTCGCCTTTTAAGAGCTTAGTTATCAGTACTCCTTAGAATCACCCTAAGAATGGAAGGGCTTCATCTAGGATTTGATATTGTAATCAAATTTTCAAATAAGACAAATTAGTCCACATAAAAAAGTATAGCAGTAGGTACAGGCAACAGAAGCCATGAACGCATTCTCGAAGCTCGCCAAGGAATTTTTCTCTAAAATCATCTTTAAGGAAATATCAATTTAACTTCAATAGCCTTGTTTAACGAATCAAACTATTTTTTTAAATCTTAGAGTGACCTAAAATCCCAAAATTTCTCCACTGAGTTGGCATACCAATTCCTCAATTTATTTCAGCTGTTGTAATCATACACCTGATAATGCTTGATTTGAAACTGGGTACAGTTTTTTAAGGTTTAGTTGAATGAGGGAATTTTTAATTTATCACAATTTCCTGACTAATATGAAAACTGATGGTAAGAATGAAAAATTCAAATAAAATAACATAAACCTCTAATTACGGCGTGCAGCGTTTGCAGTTACAAAAGCAACACTACATTTTTCCCATCATAAGCGCTTTGTCATCAAAACAGTAAACTATACAAATTGGATTGCAACAATTTCCACTGTTATTGGTAATTTTTTAATAGGAACACTTTCCATTAATGCTTGAAAACTACGAACTACATTTTATTTTATATCTTGTCAAATTAGTTGGAGAATATCTATTGTAAAGCTGTCAGCACATCTCTAACATTACTTTGTCAGGATCCACCTGCTCTATGCTGCCCACTATAGGAAATGCAATATGGTAATAAGAAATGTAATAGAAGGTTACTTTAGTACAATCTCATAAAAAACATACTCTGACTCTACTTGGATGCTAAATGTGGTGTTTTTGCAAGAGATACAGACTGATTAGTGGCAATCAAATTTATTAACTGTAAAGGACATCAATAAGAACAGACAGGACCAGAAATTGTATCTTGGTGATCCACATGCCAGGAGTAGCGCGGCAGAGGATGGAGAGTGGAACTTAGCGATTGAGGCGCAGCCTGCAGAAAGCTGCACTTCTGCACTAGAGATTAAATAAGAGGGTCAAAATCAACATAAACTAAACCCTTTTTCAAAGTCATGTAAACACAAATGATTGCTGCAACTGGAAAACAACATTGAAAATAAATGATTCGTGTGATGCATATCGATTTCAACAAACCTTTCCTTAAACCTTTAACGTTACTCTTACAAGCAAATACCGTTAATAGCTTACTTCTGTCTTAATTTTTCTAACCACAGGAAAATTGAAACATAAGTAATCTGATAAACATCAAGTTTTACGTTGATGCTTTTGACCACAGGGTATATACAGTGTTAAGAATTTAAATTCTATCCATCAGATATACTTTAGGACTCCATTTTGAAGATAGCCTCTTCTACAGAAAAGAAATTTTTAAAAGTCAATTCTCCAGTTTCTCATCACATCTTAATTTTTTTAAAAAGGCTTTTAAACACTAGTATCACTCCAAGTCTTTAGCCTTTGATACTTGCTCTGAAAACACACTATCGTATGTTTGTGTATGTACACACACACACACAACAGTGACTTAAAAGTGGCAACCGCCTCTTGAAAAGTAAAAATATGTCATCCCTCCATTCTGCCCTTAAATGAGAAATAAAGACAATAGATTTGCCCACTGCAGACTGGGATACCAGAAAAGACGTTCTAAGTCTCGCCTGAGACAATATTAACCTGCTATCTTAAGTCCCAACTTGGATGACTTAAATTTCAGTGTACGTGCCTCCGTTCCCACTCTTGCCCCATCAGCTCCATCAGCATCGTCATCCCCGGCTCGGATCCCGGCCGCGACCCGCCAGGGCCGCCGGAGTCCGCGAATACCGCCCGCTCCCAGCAACGAAGCTCCCCGGCTCCCGGCCGACCGCGAGTTCCTGGAGCAGCAGCCTCCAAGGTTCCCAAAGCCCACGATTCAGGCGAGCGGTGCCGACCGGGCCGTGGACTGTGGCATTTTAAAACTACAGAAGTCTCACTGCACGACTGGCGCGGCCGAGGTGGCCCAGGAGACCCTCCAAGAGATTCTGGTCAGCTGCCGGGAGCGTGGAAGAGCAACCAAAGCCACCAAGGCGCCGCGCCAAGTCCCCGGAGCAGTCACCTCAGCTTTCCGTTCTCCCTCTAGTTACAATTACTCCACAGGCTTCTGGCGCTTCCTTCGAGAAAATGAAAAACTAAAAACGCGTAGAGGTGGTAGAAGTCGTTGGCATTTTCCGTTTAATGTGATCCCCCAGGCTCCATCCCTTAAGTGGGGTTTCCAAACTCGGATGCATCCTCAGCAGAGGTTTTCCATGTTGACAGATCTCTCGCCTCCCACAAAATGGGGCCGGGGAGGCGGCCGCGGTCTCCTCTATGGGCGCCGCCATTTTGTGAGGCGGCGGCGGCGCGGCGGCAGGAGCCCGGGGTGTGTATAATGGTTGAATAGAATGACCCCCTCCAGGGAATCCCCGGCACTGACGGTTACGTAAGGGGCTGTGCGCAAGTGCGGCGTTTAGGGAATCCGCACAGCCCGGGCCACGCAGCTCCGAGGCCCACATCTCCACTTCCCCTAAGAGGACCGATGGGGGAAGGGACAGCTGACCGGGTCTTCCTCGCAGCAGCCTCACCCCTAGTCTTCCGCGGCCGGCGAGCTTCTCCACCTCCCCGGGCCGGGTCTCCGCCCCTCACAGGCTTCCGAGACACTCACTGGCCCTGGGTTGTCAGGATCTTCCTAGCCACAACCTTATTCCGACCCCACTTAAGAGACAAACTTTAGTTGGGAAATAAGTCCGTTTCCTAGAGTGAGCACCGGAAGCAAGCTGCACTATATTACATAATTTTTCACCTCCAAAGCAATGTTCCCATTGGAACGACTACCTGAAATAACCCATCCAGACCCCTACTACCCTGTGACCTTGGGTTAGGCAGTGACTTTGCCCGTGGTGGCCGTCACTAAAATGGGAATAATAATACGTTTCACGTACTGTAATCTTAATTAACATTTGTAGCAAAGAGCCGGCTCCAACACCCCTCGTAAATGCAAATTTAGGTGGTAGTATTTGTTGAGATGTTTTGACTCATTTAAGCAAAGGGTTTTTTTAACCTTCAAAATATTTTAAACGAGGATTACATTTAAGACATTTGAAAGCAAGGAAAAACGTTTTATTCGGTATTTATTTTAAACGCAGCAATCTTGAAGAGACCTTACTATAAAAATGTAAACCTTAATTATTATTGTCGAAGTTCGATAGATTGCTTCCCAACCAGTTTAGTTAGTTTGCATAACTTTGCTCATAGAATACTCCAGTTTGATATGTGAAGCCAACCAGCGGCAAGATGAATTAAGAGCATTACTCTATTTCCACAGAACTAGGACAGACAGTTCACATTGTATTTAACGTATAGTTTGCTAAAGTTAGCGTGTGGATAATTCATAGAAAATGTGCTAACCAGGCCCCAAAATACTAGCATACGGCTCATAAAAGCCGATTCCTTTAGATTTTACAAAAACAGAAGGTAACAAATTGACTTTATTCCGATCTGTGAATGTTGCGTAGCGTGAGGGGCTACCCCGGTGAGCTTCCTTTCCCTTCAGAGCGCCACACCGGTTCTGTCGGGCGGGCGGGGACTCCGAGGCGGCCCTTCCAACAGCCGGGCCGGGGACGCGAACATCGCCTCCACCCCTAACCCTGGAACAACCGGTAGTGGCCGTTTCCCCGCACCGCCCCCCTTTCCGCCGGCTTTGTGTGCGTGTGAAATGTGCGGCACATTGCAGACGAACCCTAAGCCCGGCGAGTCGAGTCTATTGTTCCCCGCGAGGATCTGCCGGGGCGGTGTGGAGCCAGGCGCAGTGCCGCGGCCAGCCCTCGGGGGTCGCTGTGTGGCACTGGCTGCCAGGCCGTGGCGGCGGCAGAGAGGGAGGCTGGCGGGGAGGGAAGCAGGCGGGCGGCGCGCAGCGGCTCAGCTGCCGCCGGTGCTTCTGCCCGGGGACGCCCCGGCCTCAGCGGCCGAGGCCGCGCGTGAATGTGTGCGAGGGCCCCGCGGAGCCGGGGCCGAAATACACGCTGTCACCGCGCTTTCCACAAACCACCACACAGACCTCCCCCTCCCCACCCCCAGCCCCGCCTGCCCTAGCCCCGCCGCCGCCGCCGCCGAAACTCTTGGGCCTCTGGCCGCCCAGACCCCTCACCATCGGCTCGCCTTGCCCGTCGCCCGCTCGCGCGCCCCCGGCAGCAGCACCATGTTGAATCGCGTCCCCGGGCTGAGCTGCCTCAGCCGGCGGCGCTGAGAGGCGGGCGAGAGCCGGGCCACGGGGAGGGAGGGAAGGAAGGGGTGGGGGCCGCGCTCGCCCCGCGGCTTCGCGCGGATCCGGCAGTCGCCTGCCCTTCTAGTTTCGCTCCGATTTCTTTAAACTTTTTTAGAAATTCCCCTCCCTCCTTCCCTCCTCTCCCCCTGGCCTCCTGCTCCCTCCTTCCCCTCCTCCTCCTCCTCCCCCTCCCTCCCTCCCTCCCTGCGCCGCCGCCGCCGCCGCCGCCGCCGCCGCCGCCGCCACCGCCGGCCCATGACTGAGCCCCGCCGCCGCCGGCCGAGGAATGGGCTCCGGGCTCTGGTAGGAAGCGCTGGGAGCGGGGGGCGCTTTTAAAACACCGATCTGGGTTTTTTAAAAACCTCCTTTGAAAAAATAATGGCAAACTCGACGGGGAAGGCGCCTCCGGACGAGCGGAGAAAGGGACTCGCTTTCCTGGACGAGCTGCGGCAGTTCCACCACAGCAGAGGGTGAGAGCAGAACCGGGGGGGCAGCGCCGGGGCGAGCCGGGGCGAACGGGGCTCTCCCGCCCGGGCCGGGCACGGGGTCCCGGCTGACAAGTGCGGGGCTTTTTCTCTCCCGCAGGTCGCCTTTTAAAAAAATCCCTGCGGTGGGTGGGAAGGAGCTGGATCTTCACGGTCTCTACACCAGAGTCACTACTTTAGGCGGATTCGCGAAGGTGAGTGGAAGTTTTAATTTGTATTTCCCTCTCGCTGGCCTCCTCCAAAAAGTCTCCTTTGACCCCGGAGTGGGCGCTTGGGGCTGGGGGGGTGGCCCGCGGGGGCAAAAGGCGTTCTTTTCGCTCCCAGCCGGTGGCACGGAGGCGGACGGCGGCGGGGCTGTTTTTGGCCTGGTGGCTCGCGTGCGCGCGGCGGGCGCGGGGCTCCGGCGGGCGGGCGGCCCGGCGCCGGCTCGCGCCCTGCCCGGTGCCCGGTCGGGCCGGCGGGGTCTGAGCGCCGCGGCGGGGAATGCGGGCGTGCGGGGCGCCAGCCTGAGCCCCGCGCCCGCCCCGCTCCCGCGCCGCCCGCCCGCTCGCTCGCGAGTCAGCTCTGCCGCCGCTGCCGCTCTAGCACAGGCGGAGACACACAGAGACACACAGACTCTGAGAGCAGTTTTCGTGCAACTCAAAATTAGCGCGGGCAGGTTTAACATCGATAATCGGCTGCGAAATAATCCCGGCAGCCGGGGGCACAGCCTCGGCCCCGTCGCCCTCGGTTTATACAGCTAACAAAAGAAACCAGGACCTGTCTCCAAATAGCCATCTTAGGCTTCAAGGCTAGGCAGAAGCTGTAGGCCTCAAAGAAGGGCCTATGGAGATGGATAGATCTGGGAGAGGGATCGGAATCGGCCCCAGCCCCGGCCCCCCCCCCAACCCGCGGACGTCGCTGTCCGGAACTGTATTGATCCTTTTGAACTTTTTTTTTTTTTTTTTTTTTTAGTGTAAACGGACCGCGTTGAGATTTAAAAGGGGGCGACAGAGGGACTTGCGATTGGTTATTGTCCGGGCTTCAAAAACAAAACAAACCCACCAAACCCCCCCACCCCCAAACAAAACAAGTGGTATTAAATACAGGGCTCTCTGGTGAAAACACAGTGATTCAAGAAGCCCTTGCTTAGTAACTCTTACCGATCGATCCGAAACACCCACTGATGCCTTAGGTATCTACAGATCTCTGTAGAATGGGTATTTATTTCATAGTTAGGTTAAGATTTTCTTAGATTGTTCACGTTCAGACAACTGTGCCTGTGTTTTACCAGGTTTCTGAGAAGAATCAGTGGGGAGAAATTGTTGAAGAGTTCAACTTTCCCAGAAGTTGTTCTAACGCTGCCTTTGCTTTAAAACAGTATTACTTGCGGTGAGTAGTAGTGACTTTTCCATAGTATTTGGAAATAAGGGACTTATGGAGAGATTTGTTTTTAGCAAAAACAAAAGCAAACCTTGCACACCAAACAGTTCTTAAGCTCTTGTTCATTTCAGACTGAGACACATTTAATATAAATAAAGTGAGATTGTAGGAAGGTGAAAGTCTTCCTCACCAATTTCAGGATCGTTTACATTTTTCATACAAAATCATTACAGGTGACACCCCAGCCCCAATCTTGGTAAACATTCTTTTGTGACATTGTTATTCATCGCTTGATACCCACTGAGGGGCAGAAAGGTGATGCTTAGTAAAAGACTTAAGATAGTTAATGAAACTTTGTAACCTTTGGGAAAATTTTTTTCTTTGTTTTGGAAACTCCTTTAGTTTTAAAAATTCTGGCTTTAAGAATTTTTTTTTTTTAATGAAACTTCTTGTTTGGAACAGTGTCATTGAATAGGTTTTTCAGTAGAATATTCCTACATGGCATAACATGTTGGTGGCTTAGGTGACCAGGATTGTTTTGATAATTACTTTTTGTTGAATTTCCAGTGACTTAAATTAGTAATTTAAATTAGATAATTTAAATTATTATATCTTTAGGAAAATGGGGATACTATGAAATGGGATACTATAATCTGGATTTTCTTTCATTCTCCCTCTTCTTCTTTGACTGCTTATTCGGCAAAGTTTAATTTCTTATTCAGTTGGTATGTGATACAGTCTAGATGATATATTTTGTGATTTAGCGTTTTTTTTTTTGCCTCTAGTTTTTCTTCTAGGAATACTTTCATACTGTAATTTATCATGATGCTGTGTTTTATTTTTAAAGTGCTTATCTTAGAGGATCCTAAGTTAGTTGGTGTTATTAAAAACTAAAATGATATTCTTTGTATTTATTGCTTTTTAATAGTGATAGTACAGGCCTTTTTTTGTAAGGTGGCTTCTGCATAATTTGAGTTTTGCATTTATTATTGCTTCAGATGCACTCAGTTATTGTGTATTACGTTCAGCATTCTGAAATAGGAAATGCAGTAATCGCACAGGTGTACTTTCTATTGGCTATCTTAGATTGACTTCAGGCTTGAAGCTGGAGTTCGCAGAACTTTGTGGAGTAGTTATTGAGTTACACAGGAAGTCTAGAAAATATTAAATATGGTTGTCATCTATTGTGTGTGTGTGATGGCATTTGTGTCAGAGTACATTTTAAATTAAAGGGCTAAATCAAAAAGCAAAATTAACCTCCAAAACCGTTGAGTTAGTAGTGGGGTGAGAAACAAGAGAGTTTTATATTCATCGTGACATTCATTTGCTCATTTCTATTTATGATATTGAGAGGAACATGTTAATACATATTCTGGTTTTATGTTTTTATCAGTTTAAAGCATTTGAATTTTGGACTGTTTGAAATACATATTTTTGAAGTTTTGCTTCATATTTGTTAGATTGATTGACTTAAGTTTTATAACCAGAAAGTACTATAGAATATACATGATTCATGAGATGTATATTTTTCTGAAGAGTTTACATTCATACTAATAGTTTTAGCATAATCAAATTAATATCTAGGCTTCCAATTTTTTTTAACAAAAGTTAATTATAAATATTGTTTTTCCAGTTGTCATTTTTATCTTGGGAGGATATCATTAATTATAGGTACTGTTTTTAACTATATAGTTTCAACATTGTAAGTATTTACATGGTCTTCAGATCAAATTGGGCTTTTTGCTCTTATTAGAAGCTGCTTTTTGAACTATGTCCTTAGTTAAACTTGTTTTTCCTCCATATGTCACTCTCTAGGTTTGTTTTTGCAGGGTTGTAGCTAGGCTACTAGGAAAAAAGTTGAAGCATTTGTTTTGGAAAATAAAACCATGTGAAGATTTGCATGGCTTGTAAAGAAATACAAAAGAAATATGCTGGTCAAAACTTAGGTACTACCAACCTTGAAAGAATTTTTTCCTGGTGGTCTAATATTGCACAGTAAGAGGATATATATGATGCTAGCTTTTACACCTTCCTCTGAAAAATCTTAATTGGCAGACAAGATGCCAAGTAACAGCAATTCTATTACCTACCCATAAGATTGGCTCTTCATAGTAAGAAATAGTAATCGAGTGACTTGATAAGTTACCTCTTTGCTACGTCAGATTGAATATCATCATTACTGATGAGCAGATAATGCAGTGTGTTTTTTAAATTACAAGTGGAATAATTTTTTAATATGAACTGCTTTTTCATTTGACCTATTGTAAGACTGTCATTATATGTGTTATTCCTCCTTTACAAGTTTAATATTTGCTCACATTCCCCTGTAAGTTTGCTATTAATTGGATGGATGGCTGTTAGCCTAGTGTTTTATGATATATCTTCATAATATTACAGATAATTTAAATTAGGAAGAGCAAGCTAGTATGCTGGCCATGTATATTTTAATAGTGTTTTGTTATTTTTGATACAAATATTGACAGTCATTAAATATAGACTTGAGTATTAATGGTCTGCCAGACATTAACTTAATTTTCTCAAATATACATTTATTCAGTTATAGCTTGTCTACAAAAATTTCTTAGAGTCTAAAATTGAAAATGCAATTGATTATTTTAACATTGGCATTTAATTTTTACAAATATAAGTGCCTGCCTGTATCAAAGTTTCTCACCTACTCCAGAAATATATACACGTACTGTGTACCCACAAAAATTAAAAATTAAAAAAAAGTAAAGTGCTTACAGATAATGTGTAAAAGCAGTCTATTTAAAAATTGGAGGCCAGGTGCGGTGGCTCACGCCTGTAATCTCAGCACTTTGGGAGGCCGAGGCAGACGGATTACCTGAGGTCAGGAGTTTGAGACCAGCCTGGCCAACATGGTGAAACCCCGTGTCTACCAAAAATAGAAAAATTAGCCTGGCATGGTGGCTCATGCCTGTAATCCCAGCTACTTGGGAGGCTGATGCAGGAGAACTGCTTGAGCCCGGGAGTCGGAGGTTGCAGTGAGCGGAGATCGTGCTACTGCACTCTAGTCTGGCCGACAGAGTGAGACTCTTTCTCAAAAAAATAAAATAAAATAAAATAAATAAATTAAAAATTGGATACTAATCATCTGTGATGTTTATGCACTTTATTTTCATGTAGTTCCTTTTCTTGGCATGTACATCTCAATGTGTTCCACCAATGTTTATTATTAGGATATTCCTATAGTATGAAAGGATAAGGTATAGTTTCCCACATTTTGTAGATGGAGATATTAAAGTGCAAAAAAAAAAAAAATTAAATGGCTTAGGGAACATTTCATTAATTGGACCAAAATGTTGTGTTCATGACGTGTTCAATAATATTTGGAAATTACTTATGGTTAAATTTATGCCCAAGTATCTCTTTGCCTAATGTGTTCCATATTTACTTGGTGGATTTTAATTTTTTGTTCTGTTTTGTTGTTGAAATTGGGGGACAGTTTGCTGGTCTTATCTGGGTTAAGAATTTGAAGTTTTGGTATGAAGATTTAGGTAAATATTTCAAATATTTTAAAATTTTGTTTTTGCTTACTGATGCCAATATTACAGCTATAGTCAAGGTTAACTTGATGTTTCCTTTATAAAACTTGATTTTTTTGGAAAGGGGGTGAAATATCTTGGACATTAAAAATTTATTGTACAAAACTATATGTTACTAGTTTTCTGGCACTGAAATATTCATTTCTATTTATATGTACCTACCTTTAGAATAGTCAGAAACTTAATTGTAGAGTTATGTTTACCATAGTACATTTTCAATCGCATTGTGAATTTATTCTATTTTTTTTTTCTTGGTGGGTAAAGCTCTTTCTTAAATTACACCATTTGAGGGAGTTTACATTTGTTAGTTAAATTGAATGAATACACTCATGTGTTCTCTAGTTAGTGTCCACCATATAGATCAATTCTTTTAAGAGAAAGCCTTAGGTATATAAGCACTGAGTTTGTAAATTGCTAAACGGAACTGAATAAACTGATTGCCCTTCTTATTCAAGGAAGGAAAATAAAAGTATATGGAGATTGGAAGACAAATATATCAATAAGTTATTCATGCATGTATTTCAAATTTAACTTTATAAACTGTATCGTGTGTGTGTGTGTGTGTGTGTGTGTGTGTGTGTGTGTGTGTAGACAGGGGTCTTGCTTTGTTGCCCATGCTTGTCTTGAATGCCTGGCTTCAAGGTATCCTCCCGCCTCAGCCTTCCAAAGTGCTGGGATACAAAAGTGAGCCACTGTGCCTCAGCCTTCCAAAGTGCTCGGATACAAAAGTGAGCCACTGAGCCTGGCAGTGTATCCATTTTAAAAAACAAAAAACCTGATTTTGATATTTTCTGATATTCTGTTACGTTTTTAAAGGACATGCAGACTTGTTGAAAGGAAGAGCAGAAAGTGGAGAAAGTTGAAAGACTTATCAAAGCTCAGCTAGGTTAGTGTTATGTCTTAGAATCCATGTTTTTAGAGCTTAAATTGCCCAAAGTAGAAATAAATTGAGTTCTTTCTAAGACAGATAGTTTTCACTGAGGTTACAAATTTTCCTGAGGATACAAAATGAGAACATTATAATTCCCAAAAATGTTTATATGCTTTTTTTTTGCAGTTAAATTTTCTACCTTAGCTGTTAACTAAAAATGTCCCTGAATAGAAGCACTCTTTCATAATCCTATCTCTGCTTTGTTGTGGATTCAGTATTTTCATAGTTGATCGTGTGAAATCTATAACGTCTTTGATAGACAAGTATATTGTGGCCGGGCGTGGTGGCTCACGCCCTGTAATCCCAACACTTTGGGAGGCCAAGGCAGGCGAATCACAAGGTCAGGAGACCAAGACCAGTCTGGCTAACACAGTGAAACCCTGTCTCTACTAAAAATACAAAAAATTAGCTAGGCGTGGTGGCATGCACCTGTAGTCCCAGCTACTCGGGAGGCTGAGGCAGGAGAATCACTTGAACTCGGGAGGCGGAGCTTGCAGTGAGCCGAGATCGTGCCACTGCACTCCAGCCTGGGTGACAGAGCGAGACTCCGTCTGAAAAAAAAAAAAAAAGTATATTGCTACTAGATATTTTATATTCTCAAACTGAATGAAATTAGAAGTTGGAAAGGAAGGAAAAACACAGTTTTAACTGCATTTCATTAGTCAGTGAGCAGGTACTTAATATATATTTTTAGGTAAAGTATTTAAAAGTTTTAATTATATTGTGAAGGTGCTTATTGGGTGTTTTCCAGACCTACTAAAGTTTAATGATAAAAATGGATTTTGTCTGAATTGGGAAGGACATAGAGGATAAATGGAGCAGACGGATGGGGTTGAGGGGATTCTCCTTTTGCTGCTTTGATCACCACAGTCTTTGGTATTCAGGGCCAACTAGAGTTTGTACTCTAGAAACACTAGTTTTCCAGAAATGTTAATATATTTCCATGAAAAGAAGACGAAATGAACTTGAGCAAAAGGCTAAACTTGGGTTACTTTATTGCAGGACTTCTTAGAGACTTTATTTTGCTAATGTGTATTGTGGATCTCTAGACATTTTGGGGAAACATTACTACTTCTCTTCCCTTCCCCATAGTAAATAGTGTTTCACCAGTGTTTCACCCCACAGTAAATAGTGTAACACCATCGCCAAAACTGCAATTACTTGTGCACCAACCTAAGAGATGCACAACTATACATTTTCTACTGTTTAAACTATAATGTGATAAAAGAAATAACAAACTTTTTTCTGTTTTAAAACATAAATTTCACTTGTGCTTGGATACTTTCTGTGTATTCATTATGTTGTGAATTGATAATTCATTTGACTAAATACATTGCAATAAACTATTGCTGGAATGGAAGTCTCTTAGTGATGTCCAGGAATAGCTATCACATTCTGAATTGTTGACCAAAAATGATAGACCCATATTCCATGAATATCTAAGTCAGCGTTTACAGGGCTTCACTCCCATCTTACTGCCATAGAAATTTTTGGTGGAGCCCCAGGGAGAATGTGCTGGTTTTGATGTTTTGGCTGCTGCCTTCCCTCTCCCCCCGCCCTTTTTTTCCCCATTATACCATTGATTTGGAGTAAAGGGGTCAATTTGTTCTTTAGACTGTCTTAAATTCTGGCTTTGATTGCTTTCTTTTGGTGTCAATTAACTTGTTCCTCTATCCCTCATACATATTTGCTGAAAAGTGATAGATCTAAAGGTTAATAATATTCAGATTTAATATTTTAGGCATACTTGATAGGTACTGCTGTGCTTTTCATCATATCATGAGGCATATAATGTTTAGTTGTCCCCTTTTAGTGATGCTAAGATTGAACAGTGGTTTTAGGTATTAATAATTTGATTAATATGTATTTCCAAAAAGTGCTCCAGGTGATTCTTAAGTACACTGAAGTTTGAGAACAGTTGATCTAAGTATTGTAATGAAACCAATTTAGTTGCTGAGATGACTAGTTTAACATGGCATGAACATATTGGTCAGGGTTACATCCAGAACAAAACCTCCAGGTGACATCTGGTCTAGGGGCACCTGCTCAAGCTGCACCTGTCATCTCTGACCACAGCTTGGACACACTTATACTTTGTCTCTGGACTCTAGAGAAGGTAACAAGGGCTCCACTTTAGTTAAGGGAAAAAAAGAGTAAATGAACTACCAAATTCTAACTTATCCTAAGTGTGTTTATGTAATTTGGATTAAAAAAATTAATTAAAAATAAGTGTTCCTCACTTATTCCTAATTGGAGAACTTTCTTTACATATATGTATGGTTTTTTTTTCTCATAGAACTTTACTATATTCTTTCCAAATGGGGTACCATTTGTTTTACTGAATTTACTGGATGCTTGTTTGTGAAAATTTTGTTGGTCTGTCCTGGTATTTCGTAGTAGAGTTAACATGTATAAATTCCTGTGAAAGTAATAATACTAACAATAACCTGTTTTGTTTAATGTCCACCAGCTTTGTTTTTCAAAACATTTTCATATGGGAGATTTTATTTATTTATTTTTATTTATTTTTGAGACGGAGTTGCTCTCTGTCACTCAGGCTGGAGTGCAGTGGCATGATCTTGGCTCACTGCAACCTTCACCTCCTGGGTTCCAGTGATTCTCCTGCCTCAGTCTCCCAGGTAGCTGGAATTACAGGCGTGTGCCACCATACCCGGCTAATTTTTGTATTTTAGTAGAGATGGGGTTTCAGTTGGCCAAGCTGGTCTACAAACTCCTGATCTCAGGTGATCCACCCATCTTGACCTCCCAAAGTGTTGGGATTACAGGCATGAGCCACTGCACCCGGCTGGCCGGAGATTTTATTTTTATCATTTCAAATTTGAGAAGTAATTGTGTTATTTAATCTTAGAAAAAATAACAACTAGGAAAAATATTCTTTCTTTTTTTATGTATAAAAGCAAGGGAAAAAATTCTTTATGCCACCCAAACTTTTTTCTTCCTGGGGCATATGGGCTACTTTTTTTTTTTTTTTTTTTTTTTTTTTTTTTTTTAAGGCTTTAGGTTATATCCAACTCCCAGCCTTAAGTGTCAGCCACAGTTGCTAGTCAGGAAAGGATATTTTACATATTTTCAGACCCTACTTTCCCTGCTTCACCTTCCCATTCCCTTCCCTGCTGATAGACCTGCTGTACATTTTACAGAGTGTTGTCTTTTTTTTTCTTTTTGAGACAGTTTCGCTCTTGTTACCCAGGCTAGAGTGCAGTGGTGTGATCTTGGCTCACTGCAGCCTCCACCTCTTGGGTTCAAGTGATTCTCCTGCCTCAGCCTCCCAAGTAGCTGGGATGATAGGTGCCCGCCACCATGCCCAGCTAATTATTTTGTTTTTTTGCTTTTTTAGTAGAAATGGGGTTTCACCATGTTGGCCAGGGTGGTCTCAAACTCCTGACCTCAGGTGATTCACCTGCTTTGGCCTCCCAAAGTGCTGAGATTACAGGCGTGAGCCACTGCGCCCGGCCAGAGCATTGTCTTAATTGTCTTATAGATAATCCTACATTATCCATAGTTGCTATTCATCTTATGCAGGTATATTCCATGTTCCAGGTGTGCTTGGCTTTTATTTGTATCAGTAAATAATTTTTAAAACTACCATATAATTGGGATAAAATATAAAGTTACTTTTTTTTTTTTTTTTTTTTTTTTGAGACAGCGTCTGGCTCTGTCGCCCAGGCTGGAGTGCAGAAAGTTACTTTTTATGAAGAATTCAAATAAAGTTGTGTAATCTATTGTTTGGATAAACATCTTATTGTAAAATATGGCCAGGTTTCATAATTCTGGTCTTTCTGAGTTCTTACTGTCATACTTGATAAGTATTTATATATAGTGGCCAGTAGTCAATTGCTGTGTGCACAAAGATGATCTTTATTAAATAATACGTATCTTTCATGGTGAAGTGTTTTTGGGTGAAATTTTATTCTGTCTCTATGCTAGCCCAGCGATTAATTTTAAATAAATAAAATGTTAATATAAACATACATGAGATCAGTGGGAACATTCTTCTATTACAATAGGTCAAGGAAGAGACCATAGCTAGGGCCCTGTCCAGAAAATACCTAATTTGTAATATTTTAAAAATGGGATGAATTTAACTTTTTCAGTAGTAAGGCTCAGGTTGATCACACTTTCCATAATGGTTCATAGATTAAGTGAATTTGCAATACGCTTGAGCTCAGATCAGACCACATAGAACTTCATAAACAGTAGTTAGTGGCTTAGAGTAACTTGTACCTCCCAGTGTGCTTGCAAATAATAGGTAGTCTATCAAGAGTTCTTAAGTGGTTTGGTATAATTTGTAGTTTACACCATTAAAGAGTCAAACTTTTGAATTTCTGAGTTGTCTTTTTAGGTAGCCTCATATTGCAATGTAGTAATTCAATCTAGTAGTAAAAATATATGTGATTTTTGATATAGTCCAGTTGAGAGAGAAATGGTGAATCCATTATTTTCTTCTTTTTTTGCCATGTTTTTCCTTTTCAAAATTGTTAAATTTCTTTTGCTATCTATATGTGAACTTTTGCTTACACTTCCTGTAGATCAACCAATTAATTGTTTTGCCACATTTGGTTTACATTTTTCTTTTTATATGTGATGGTGTGCACACTCATACACACACTATCACATATAAAAAGAAAAATATAAAGCAAATGTGGCAAGTGTGTGTGTGTGTTTATATACACATACACACATTATCACTGTCGTTTATTCATTGGATATTATTACAGTATAATGTCTTTTATTTATATGTGTTATGACCTAAGAGTAAAATCATTCGCTAATGTAACAATGGACAGTTATTACATTCAGAAACCTTAACATGGATAAAATTGTATTCTCTATTATGTAGACCTTAAATCAAATTTTAACAGTTGTCCTAAAGATGCCTTTTATAGCAATCATATCCCCCAACCCCATTCATTATCTTGTATTGCATGTAGTTATCATATCTGTAGTTCTTCAGCCTTTTTGTGTCTTTTGTGATGTTACATTTTGAACTATACAGGCCAAAAGTACTATAAAGTTTGGAGTTGTCTAATATTTTTTCAGGATTTAAGTTAGGCATTTTTGGCAAGAGACATGTCATGTCACTTTGTCTCATTATTGCTGAGATTAAGGTGGTATCCTCCTGATTTCTCCACTGTAAAGTTACCATTTTCTCTTTTTGAATTAATAAGTATTCTGTAGCGACATACCTTGAGACCATGAAACTATTTTGCTTACCATCAAACTTTTACCCAGTAGTTTTAACATCCACTGATGGTTTGGGCTTGAATCAGTTATTAATATGATACTTGCATTTATTTGTGCTTGAATCAGTTATTAATATGATACAAGCATTTTATGATGCTTGTTTTCTAACTCTTATCATTTCTTTTACATTTATTTGTTTTTGAGACTGGGTCTCACTCTGTCTCAAAACACCCAGGCTGGAGTACAGTGACACAAATCATGGCTCATTGCAGCCTTGACCTTCCAGCTCAAGCCATCCTCCCACCACAGCCTCCCAAGTACCTGGGACTACAGGCGCATGCCACCCTGCCCAGCTAGTTTTTTGTAGTTTTATAGAGATAGGGTTGTGCCATTTTGCTCAGGCTGGTCTCAAACTTCTGGGCTTAAGCAATCCATTTGCATTGGCCTCCAAAGTGTTAGGATTACAGGCATGAGCCACTGCTCCTGGCTCCTTTTACATTTCTCCTTTTACATATGGGACATATTTTCATTCTTATTTATTTATTAGTTAGGTTTTTATGTTATGCAGTGGTTAAAATCTATCATTGTTATGCATTTTGCTGCTTAGATTTGGCCAGTGAGAGCCCTTTTAAGCTGGCTCCTTTATCTTTTTAACATGTGTCTATTATTCTTGAGCCCTTCCTTTTTGACAAAATAAGATCTTCCAGGGTCTACTTGTATTTTGCCTACCCAGCTCTAGAATCATCTATTTCTCTGAAAATCCTCGTTCCATTTAATGCGGAATGGTATATAGAAACCAAGATCGAGGTGATAGGTGTGCTCATTGCTACTGGGTTATTTTTTCTTCTAGGGCCTTTTAGAGAACAGAACTGGGGAAAAAATTATTTTGTCTGTAAATACATTTATTTTGAAAATCAGGAGGCTATGCTGATACTTCTAATTGCACTCCATACTAGCTAGTTCTTTTCCTTCTTCCATTCCGTGTATCTCCCTTAACCTTCAGTAAGAATCCTAGTTCTCTACAATAGTATATATGTTCATCTTCTCAGTTCTGCAGTACATATAGAATACTTCCAGAAGTGTTATCCCACAACAAACAACAAACCTACCAAGTAGCTACAGATTTGTTTGAAGTTCTTTTTGTGTTTAGACTGAAGATGTATTGTTAAAAGTACAGACATGCACTGCATAAAGTGTTTTGGTAAATGATGGACTGCATATATGACTGTGTTTTCATAAGAATATAATATTTTTACTTTACCTTTTCTGTGTTTAGATATGTTTAGATACACAAATATTTAGCATTGTATTATACTTGCTTGCAGTATTTGGTACAGTAACATGCTGTATAGGTATGTAGCTTAGAGCAGCGGGCTATGCCTTATAGCCTAGGTATGTAGTAGACTATATACCATCTAGGTTTGTGTAAGTGCGTTTTGTGATGTTTGTTGAATTATGAAATTCAACAAATTTTATTTATGAATATGTAAAACACGTAAGATTAAGCCTAGTTTCCCTTCCTAAAATAAAGCTCATTAAAAATATATATTTTGCCTTTTTTCACTTCATATATCTTGAAAAATCACTAAGTTCATAGAATCCCATTATTATTTTTTTAACAGCTGCATAATGTTCCCATCGTGTAGCTATATCCTAGTTTATTCAACCAGTTCCCTACATAATGGCACTTAGATTGTTTCCAGTGTTACTGTAGTAAATAATGTCATCTGAATAATCTGTAAATCTTAGTAACTTTATGCAAACCTATTTTCAGATTGTTGCAGCTGTGTCTTTAGAGCTAGTTACTAAAGTGGGGATTGAAGCAGCAATCAAAGAATAAATGCACATGTAGTTTTGTTAAATATTGCCAGATTCCCTTTGTAGGAGAGAACTTTTTTGCACTTCTACCAACAGTATATGAAAATACCTGTTTTCCACAACTTTGCTCTGTTGTCTGGCTTGTTAAATTTCTCTAATATAGGGGATTAAGAAATGGTATCTCACTATATTTTAATTATTGAGACATTACAGCATGTTTGTTTGTTTTTTTAAAGAGATTGAGTTGGCTGGGCATGGTGGCTCATGCCTGTAATCCCAGCACTTTGGAAGGCCGAGGTGGGTGGATCACAAGGTCAGGAGCTCGAGACCAGCCTGGCCGAGATAGTGAAACCCCATCTCTACTAAAAAAATAAAAAAAAAAAACATACAAAAATTAGCCAGGTGCTGTGGTGGGTGCCTGTCATCCCAGCTACTCGGGAGGCTGAAGCAGGAGAAAGGCTTGAACCCAGGAGGTGGAGGTTGTGGTGAGCTGAGATTGCACCACTGCCCTCTAGCCTGGGTGACTGAGCAAGACTCTGTCTCAAAAAAAAAGAGAGACAAATTTTACTGTGTTGCCCAGGCTTGAGTGCAGTGGCTATTCACAGGTGTAGTCATAGTATATGACAGCATTGAACTCTTACTTTCAAGCAACGAACTGCCTCAGCCTCCTGAGTAGCTGAGACTACAGACATGCACCACTGTGCCTAGACTTTTTAACATGTTTTCATCTTTGATAGTGCCAATCCCATCTCATAGTTCTTTTTTACAAGGTTATTCTTTAATGTTTATTTTTCCATGTGTACTTTAGTATCAGTTTGTTCTAGTTCCAGAAAAAAAAAGCTTGTTGGTCTTTTTATGGGGGTTGCATTAAATTTATAAGTTGGAGGACTGATTTTGTGATGATACCGAGTTGACCTATCAAAGAGCAATGGAAGTCTTTCCACTTGTTCACATCTTTTTGTGTCATTCAGAGCCTAAAGTTTTCTTTATATAGGGTTTGAACATTTCTAAAGTTTATTCTTAGGGATATTGTTATTGTTGTTGCTATTGAAAATGTGGTTTTCTGTTTCATGTTTTCTTGTTATCATTTATTTATATAAAAGCTGTTGAACTTTTATATTTTCTAACCTGCTGCCTTACTAAATTGTTTTATAGTTTTGATTTTATGATTGATTTTTTTTTCTTTTTTTTAGAATTTTACCTGTATACTTGGTGTGTCATCTGCAAATAGGGATTGTTTTACTCTTCTAAGTTATGCATCAAATTACTTTCTTTTGTCTAATTGCATTGGCCAGTATATCCATGCAATGTTAATTAGTAGGGAAAATGGAAACATCTTTTCTTTGCCTTGTTGCTGACCTTAGTTTGATGCTTCTGACATTTCCTCATTAAGATACTGCCTGTTATATGTTTTGATGCAATCTTAACTATTGACTTTAATTTTAGTAATCCTGTGATATATGAAAGTATTCATCTATCTGTTTATTTAATGAGTGGTATTGTTAGACTTAGAAATCAGATTTAGTGATTTTTTTGTGTTATCTACTACAGTTTAGTATCTTTTTTTTAATCCATAGGTATTATCTATATTTAAGAGAGGGGCTAATGATGAACATTACATTTTTAAAATTCCATTTTTGCACCTTATATTTGAATATGAGTGTTTCTTATGTTCCAAGAATTTAACACAAAAATACAAGTCAGCTACAGTGCTGATAAATTTGGAGGAAAATTATCTTTCTTTTTCTATCTATGAAACAGTTTTTGCTCTTTTGTTCTTTGCTGGCCATTGATTACATTACTTGATATTTAATAATAAGGCAATAATTTAAATTATTGCTTGATTTTTATATTCTCAAGATGAGAAATAATTATTTTAGTCTTACAAGTCTTCATTATAGGTTAATGAACCCCCTAAAGAAGAAAAGCAAATTTGTACTTTAATCACAGTCAGAAATCTTATGTTTGTTTGCGTGAATCCATTTAAATTCATCAATGCTAAATTAAATGTGTTATGTTTTTACATAGTATATTTGATCCTCACAATTAATCATAATTTGGTTATTGAAAAAATCTTCCTAGTTCTGAGAATTGCTTGGAACATCCCTCCTTCTTTGGCCCCCTCTTTATAAACTATGGAGGTTAGCTTAAATGTGTGTGTTTGTGCAGGCACGTGTGTGTGTAAGCAGCACTCTTTAGAGTTTTAAGCAAACTGTTTGGTGATTTATTGATCAGTTCTTGCTCATAACCAGTCTTATAGGAATTTACCAAGCCTTACATATTTAAAGGGCTAAGTTGAAGTGGATATTAGCTATTGTATACAAACTTAATGTTTTGTAGAAGCCCAGTAGTATAGCTTTCAGCACCTGAAAATTTAGATTCCTAAAGACAGGAGCAAGAAGTGTGTAGTTAGCTATAATTGGATATGGCTACTGAATTTATTTATTGATTTGTAGTATCGTCAGTCTTAATACTAGAAAGGATTTTAAGAAGATGGTCTAGCCCTCTGCTTTCTGGAAGGGTAGAAATAAGGATACTTTTCCAGGTAGGCCTGCGTGGGGATAATTGACTTGCCTAAGATTATTACTACTGAATGATGGAAGGGAAAAGTAGAAACCAAATCAGATCTGCATTTATTACACTAACCACTCCATTCTGTTTTAAAAGGAATAATTTTAGAAGACTATCAGAGATTTCTTTGCTATATAAAACGGGGCCTTTATTTATTATTATTATTTTTGAGACAAAGTCTCACTATGTCACCCAGGCTAGAATGCAGTGGCGCAATCTCGGCTCACTGCAACCTCCACCTCCTGGGTTCAAGTGATTCTCATGTTTCAGTCTCCTGAGTAGGTGGGACTACAGGCACACAACAACATGCCTGGCTAATTTTTTTGTACGTTTAGTAGAGACAGGGTTTCGTCATTTGGCCAGGCTGTTCTCGAACTCCTGGCCTCAAGTGATCTGCCCGCCTTGGCCTCCCAAAGTGCTGGGATTACAGGCATGAGCCACTGCGCCTGGCCTGGTTTTATGTTAAGATGATTCTGCTGACTTATACTAAGAGAGAAAAAACACTTTTTACTGCAAATATTCTTTATATTAAATATTTTACTCGTAAAAACCTAAACTTACATATTTGATAAAGCTTATATATTTGATAGTTGTTTTTTTTTTTAAATAACCAAGGATACTCATTTAAAGGTTAGTCTAGTACATAATTTTTTAGATGGAGACCTCTACTGGAAGTATGAAGTAATAGATAGATTCTGGTTTGATTTTTTTTTTTTTTTCCTTTGGAGACAGGATCTTGCTCTGCCACCCAGGCTGGAGAATGAAGAGTAGTGGTGCAATCATGGTTCACTGCAGCCTCAACCTTCTTGGCTTAAGAGATCCTCCTACTTCAGCCTCCCTAGTAACTAGGACTACAGGTGTGTGCCACCATACCTGGCTGATGTGTAAAGATTTTGTAGAGACCAGGGCTTTCTGTGTTGCCCAGGATGGTTTCCAACTCCTGGCCTCAAGTGATCCTCCTGGCTTGGCCTCCCAAAGTGTTGGGATTGCAGACCTGAGCCACCCACCCAGCCTGATTCTATTACTGTAAATATCTAGACAAAGGGATGGTAGGGAGATATGTTTTAAAAACAGTCAATGTAACATATGCTAAAGTTTTTTTTTTAAGTATTTTTCTTATGAAACTTTAATAGTATACTTTTGGTTTATGATACCATGTTGAATCTTTTAAAAAGCAGACTATTAAGTTTATATTTTTTTAGCTAACATTTATTTAATTTGCCATGTGCCGGGCACTGCACCAAGTGGTAACTCATTTTCTCTTCACACCTCCCTATGACATAGATACTGTTAATATCCTGGTATTATAGATGAGAAAACAGGACAAAGGTGTTTAAGAACCTTGCCCAGGTTCACACAGTAAGTTCTGGATCTAGTATTTTTTTTTTGAGACGGAGTCTCGCTCTGTCACCCAGGCTGGAGTGCAGTGGCGCGATCGAGGCTCACTGCAAGCTCCGCCTTCCGGGTTCACGCCATTCTCCTGCCTCAGCCTCCCGAGTAGCTGGGACTACAGGCGCTCGCCACCATGCCCAGCTAATTTTTCTTTGTATTTTAGGTAGAGATGGGGTTTCACCGTGTTAGCCAGGATGTTCTCGAACTCCTGACCTTGTGATCCGCCCGCCTCAGCCTCCCAAAGTGTTGGGATTACAGGCGTGAGCCACCGTGCCCGGCTGGACCTAGTATTTAAACCTGGAATCTAGGCATATTATACTGTCTTCCCCCAATTCACATGAATATAATTTTATTAAAAAGTATTTGAAGATAAGGACTTCAAGGGAATAAAAATATGAAAATGGTTAGGGTAGTTGTGGGATTGTGGCTTTTTATTTTTATTTAAAAAATTCTTTAATGTATCTTTTTGTAATAACGTGTGTGTTGCTGTACAGTTTATAGTTTATTTTTACAAATATTTATCTCAGTGGATTTTTGCAACAACTCTAGGAAATAGGTATTATCCTCTTGTAGATCAGGGAAAAAGCCTGTAAGTACCATTGCTAGTGCAGAATTAGAGTTTAGTTTTGTGAGTTATAGTGTACTGCTCCTAGTTTACTATCAGAGTCTTGGGGTCAAGGATTTTTTTTTTTTAATGGCAATGCACTTTTTGGCATCTGATACATTGTAGCTGAACTGAATTAGGATCTCCTGTCACTTGGGGAGCTTCTTATGAACTCAGGTGGGTATGGTAGGCCTCTCAGCAAGTGGGAAATCTAATTTGGGAAATTCTGAAAGAATTGAAAATTTCTAACTTACAGAATTAATAGTATAGCATTTCATTCGTCTGTCCCTAAAGCTTAACATTTTTTTGTGTGGTTTTATTAAACAAGCATCAAGAGTCAGTTGTAGTTGTAGAATATTAATTAACATTGTGGTAAATGTGTCATTTTGTGCAATTCTATGCAGTACTTGAAGTTGTTTTTAAGTAAAATAGACACTAATGTCTCCCTATCTGTCTTCACAAGCTACAATATGAGACTAGAGAGTCTTGTGTAGGGTAAGATTTGAGAGAGTAATACAGACATGCCTGAGAGATGCTGTGGGTTTGATTCCAGACCACCACATTAATATATATGATAGTAAAATGAGAGTGAATTTTTTGGTTTCCCAGTGCACAGACAAGTTATGTTTATATTATACTGTAGTATATTAATTGTTCAGTAGCATTATGTCTCAAATAACAATGTACGGCCAGGTGTGGTGGCTCAACGCCTGTAGGCCCAGCACTTTGTGAGGCTGAGGCAGGAGGATTGCTTGAGGCCAGGAGTTTGAGACAACCTAGGCAGTCTCAAGCTGCCTAGTGAGTTTGAGACGTAGTGAGACCCTGTCTCTACAAAAGAAAATGTTTTAAGTAGCTGGTTATGATGGTGCATATCTGTGGTCCCAGATACTTGGGAGGCTGAGGTGGAAGGATTGCTTGAGCCTGGGAGGTTGAGGCTGCAGTGAGCCATGATTGTGCCACTGGACTCCATCTAGCCTGGACAATAGAATGATACCTTGTCTCAAAAAAAAGAAAACAAAAATACTTTATTGCTGAAAAGTGCTGACAATCATCTGAGTTTTCAGTGAGTCATAATCTTTTTACTGGTGAAAGGTCTTGCCTTGATATTGATGGCTGCTGACTGATCAGGGTGGTGGTTACTGAAGATTGGGGTGGATGTGGAAATTTCTTAAGACAACAATGAAGTTTGCTGCATCGATCAACTCTTTCTTTCACGAGAGGTTTCTCTGTAGCATGTAATGCTGTTTGGTAGCAAATTACCCACAGTAGAACATAATTTGAGTCAGTCCTCACAAACCCTGCCACTGCTTTATCAACTAAATTTATATACTGTTCTAAATCCTTTGTTGTCATTTCAGCAATGTTCACAGCATCTTCACCGAGAATACATTCTATCTCAATAAACCATTTTCTTTGCTCATCCCTGAGAAGGAACTCCTCATTAATTCAGGTTTTATCATGAGATTGCAGCAGTTCAGTCACATCTTCAGGCTCCACTTCTAATTCTAGTTCTTTTGCCATTTGCACATCTGCAATGACCTCCTCCACTGTAATCTTGAAGCCCTCAAAGTTATCTACGAGGATTGGAAACAATGTCTTCAAAACTGTTAATGTTCATATTTTAACCTCCTATGAATCACAGATGTTCTCAATGGCATCTAGAATGGTGAATCCTTTTCAGAAGGTTTTCAGACTACTTTGCTCACTTCCATCCAGGGAATCACTGTGGCAGCTATAACTGTACAAAATGTATTTCTTAAGTAATAGACTAGAAAGTCAAAATGACTCCTTGTTCCATGGGCTGTAGAATGGATGTTGTGTCAGCAGCATGAAAACAACATTCATCTCCTTGTACATCTCCATCAGACCTCTTGGGTGACCATTGTCAGTGAGCAGTAATATTTTGAAAGTGATCTTTTTTTTTGAGCAGCTGGTTTCAACACTGAGCTCAAAACATTCAGTAAACCATGCTGTTAACAGATGTACTGTCATCCAGGCTTTGTTGTTTCATTTATAGAGTACAGACAGAGTAGATTTAGCATAATTCTTAAGGACCCTTGGATTTTCAGAATGGTCATTGAGCATTGGCTTTGACTTAAAGTCACCAGCTGCATTAGCCCCTAACAAAAGAGTCAGCTTTTCCCTTGAAGCTTTGAAGCCAGGCATTGACTTTTCCTTTCTAGCTCTGAAAGTCTCAGATGGCATCTTCTTCCAATAGAAGGCTTTTTCATCTATGTTGAAAATCTGTTGTTTAGTGTAGCCAGTTCTATCATTTACCTTAGCTAGATCTTCTGGATATCCTGCTGTAGATTCACTGTCACCACTTGCTGCTTCACCTTGCACTTTTATGTTATGAAGATAACGTCTTTTTGTAAACCTCACAAACCAACAACCTTTGCTAGCTTCAGACTTTCCTTCTGCAGCTTCCTCACTTCTCTCAGTCTTCCTTGAATTGAAGAGAGTTACGACCTTGTTCTGGATTAGGCTTTGGCTTAAAGGAATGTCTGGCTGGTTTGATCTTCTGTCTAGACCACTCAGACTTTCTACTTACCAGCCATAAGGGTGTTTCACTTTATCATTTGTGTGTTCCCTGGAGTAGCACTTATTTTTCTTCAAAACTTTCCTTTTACATTCACAACATAGCTAAATGTTTAGTGCAAGAGGTCTAGCTTTTGGCATATCTTGGCTTTTGAAATACCTTCCTCATTAAGCGTAATCATTTCTAGCTTTTGATTTAAAGTGAGAGATATGCAACTCTTCCTTTCACTTGAACGCTTAGAGGCCGTTGTGGCCTAATTTCAATATAGTTGTGTCTCAGGGTATAGGGATGCCCAAGGAGAAGGGAGAGAAATGGGAGAATGACCAGTCAGTGGAGTAGTCAGAACACACACAGTATTTATTAAGTTGCTTTCTTATGTGGGTACAGTTTGGGGTGCCCCCAAACAAATAGAATATTAGCATCAAAGATTACTGATCAGAGATCACCATAATGGATATAATAATAATAATGAAAAAGTTTGAAATATTGGGAGAATTACCAAAATGTGACACAGAACTGTGAAGTGAGCACATGGTTTTAAAAAATGATGCCGATAGACTTGCTTCAACTTGTTAAACCTTCAATTGGTTTTAAAAAAGATAATATCTGGAAAGCACAATAAAATGAGGCACAATAAAATGAAGTATGCCTGTATTGACTTTGTTTTAAACTGATATGTGAGGATCCAGGGATTTTGCAAAGTAACTACTATTTTTGAAAACATGGATACGATTAATACAAATGATGTGATTACTTGGTTGGAGACATTTTGGAGTTGGGAATGTTTATTATTATAATAGATAACATTTATTGAACACTTATTATTTGCCAGGTACTATGCTCAGCCTGCTTTATTTTAATCCCCCAAACTACCCTATAAGAATACCATCATCATCATTTTATAATGAGGAAACTAAGATTTAGAAAGGTTAAGTAATTTGTACAAGGTGACCCAAGTACAAAGTGGTGGGGCTAGAATTTGACCCAGGTCTTCTGCTTCCAGAGACCAAACTTTTACCAGCTATGTAGAATACTGCTCTTTATTCATTAATTTAATGAATAATAATTGATCACGTATCTTGTGCTAGACTCTATGCACTGGACATATATCAATGATGAGAACAGAGAAAAATTATTTCCCCTTTAGAGTGAGGGAAAGGAGACAAATAAGAGTATGCTAGCTAATAGCACAAGGAGAAAAATAAAGCAAATAAAGGGAGATGGCTTTTGCTTGAGTAGGGTGTTAAATCGTTAGACAAACTGGACTGGAAAAGTCTTAGCAAGAGTTGAATACAGACTTAAAGGAGAGAAAGGAGCAAACCAGGTGGATATTTGGGATAAGAATGAACAAACAGCAAGAGAGTATGCTTGGTATGTTCAAAGAACATTTAGGAGCCCATTGTGGCTAGCATTAGTGACCAGACCAGAGGAAAGCAGTGGAGATGAATAGATCAGAGAGGTACAATCTGGGAGCAGATCTTGTAGGGCCTCTGGAAGATCTTTGCATCTACTGAAGCCATTGGAGGATTTTGAGCAATGAAGTGTTATCTGGATTTGTCTGGATGCTTTGTTGTGTATAGATGTTGCATGCTCAAGGGTAGAACCAAAGAGTCTTGATAGAAGGCTGAGAAAATACAGTTAGTTCTTGCTTTATGACTGGGATACATTCTAAGAAATGGGTTGTAAGGTGATTTCTTCATTGTTTGAACAACGTAGAGTGTACTTACACAAACCTAGCTGGTAGAGCCTACTACACACCTAAGCTATATGGTATGGCCTGTTGCTTTAGGCTACAAACCTGTACAGCATGCTACATACTGAATACTGTAGGCAATTGTAACCCCATGGTAAGTATTTGTGTATCTAAACATAGCTAAACATATAAAAGGTACAGTAAAAATATGATATTATAATCTTATGGGAGCACCATTGTATATATGGTCATTGACCTAAATGTCATTTTGCAGTGCATGACTGTAATCCAGTTGAAAAATGATAGTTTGTACGACCAAGGTTCATAGCTCTTGAGATGGTAAAAAGTATTCATATTTTAGATATATTTCTAAAGTTTCAAATATAAAACTTTGAGGACTTTAATTAGCAGAGACCTCAGATATAACCCATTAGGTGCCAAGTTTTATACTTTTTCAATTTTAAACCTAATTTTCTTCTGTTATCAAAGTCTATAATATGTGTTAATAGTACACAATTTAGAAGATCCATGGAGGGAAAATATCAAGCAGTGTAATATCCTAGCATATGCAGATAAAATTATTGAACGCCATGAACAAACATCTTGGCGTATTTTTTTCTAGTCTTTTGGCATAGGATTGAACCTTAATAAATGCTGTCTACCATAAGCTAGCTCTCTGTCTCCCCTACTAAAATCTTAGCTCCTTAAAAACAGGAACTGTGTTCTTTATTTCTCTATCTTAGGTAGAGAGCACGGTGTCTGGTTCATGATAAGTGCTAGTGCTGCTTGTTTTGTTTGAATTAATTGTGCCAAATACTATATGGGATTCAATGATTTATGTTTAGTTAGGGAGGAAACACTCAGTAGGTACACTTGTAAAATAATAAGGCTGAGTTTTCTGTTTTGTTTTTTTAAGAGACAGGGTCTGGCTCTGTTGCCCAGGCTGGAGTGTAATGGTATAATCATAGCTCACCGTAGCCTTGAATTCCTGAGCTCAAGCAGTCCTTCTGCCTCACTCTCCTGAGTAGCTAGGACTCAGACTCATACCACCACACCCAGCTGATTTTTTGTAGAGGCAGGATCTCGCTATGTTGCCCAGGCCAGTAAGCAGTCCTCCTGCCTTGGCTTTCCAAAATGCTGGCATTACAGGCGTGAGCCACTGTACCAGGCCAAGGCTGATTTTTCTTAAGCAAACATAACAGAAATTAAGCTAAAACAACCACTACAGTTATCTTGAGAGGAAGTCATCGGGGATACTGTTGTTCTGTAAAGACATCATGTAGTTTACTCTTAAGAGTCAGTTTGAGTCATGCTATAAAGTTTTATTAAATTTGTTCATTAAAAGTTTTTTTCCAGCTGGGCGTGGTGGCTCATGCCTGTAATCCCAGCACTTTGGGAGGCTGAGGCGGGCGGATCACCTGAGGTCGGGAGTTCAAGACAACCAGCCTGACCAACATGGAGAAACCCTGTCTCTACTAAAAATACAAAATTAGCTGGGTGTGGTGGCGCATGCCTGTAACCCCAGCTACTCGGGAGGCTGAGGCAGGAGAATCATTTGAACCCAGAGGCAGAGGTTGCAGGAGAATCACTTGAACCCAGAGGCAGAGGTTGCAGTGAGCTAAGATTGTGCCAGTGCACTCCAGCCTGGGCAACAAGAGCGAAACTCCATCTCAAAAAAAAAAAAAAGTGTTTCCCCCCTCATGATGGTCTGTAGCGTAGTGATTTAGGAGTTGGCTCTGGAGGCACACTATCTGGGTTCAGATTTCACCTTCTCCATTCAGTCAGTTTTGTGACCTTGGGCAAGTTACTCTGCACAGTTTCACCTGTAAAAAGTAGATAATAAAGTGTGTACCTTATAGAGTTGTTTTGAGTGGTAAATACATTAGTATATGTAGTGTCTGGTATATAGTTTAATCTATAAATGCAAATTTTTATTATTTTCTGCTGATCCTGTAATTGATCTAAAACATAATCCAGGTTTCTTTTTTCTTTTTTTGAGACAAGGTCTCGCTCTGTCGCCCAGGCTGGAGTGCAATAGTGCGATTGCGTCTCACTGCAACCTTTGGTCAAGCGATCCTCCCACCTCAGCCTCCCGAATAGCTGGGACTACAGGCACGTGCCACCATGCCTGGCTAATTTTTGTATTTTTTGTAGAGACGAGGTCTCCCTGTGTTGCTCAGGCTGGTCTCGAACTCCTGGACTCAAGCGATCTGCCCTCCTTGGCCTTCCAAAGTGCTGGAATTATAGGCATGAGCCCCCATAACAACAACTTGCTTACCCACCTTATTTGCCAAATTTAGCTCTTAGTGACTTTTGCCATTTTCAACATGATGAAGTACTAAGATTTGTGATGCTTCTGGCTATATCTGATGTCATTTCTAAAGCAACTACTAAAAAGTTATTTTTAACTAATAGTATCATTGAAATACATTTATGATTTCAACAAGGTGATTACTTGGAAAATAATGTTCATTGGAATGAATACATTCTGGTTTAGTTGTTTCAAAAAACAAACTGTTGAATCTTATAGAAGCATTTCATTCACTTGAATGCATAAGTAATAGTATCAGGCAAAAAAATAATAAAAAAAGAGGGCTGAGTGATGCAGGTAAGTGCTTACATTTCTTCAGTGGCTCTCTATTGCTAAAGAAGAAAGTCCAAATATATTAGTAGGTCGTAAAAGGCCCTTCATTACTTTTCCATTCTTAATCTCCTTGCCATACCCTTGCACATCTTTTGAAGACAGATACTATGTCTTTTTTTCTGTTTTAAAGCTTGGTTAATGAACAGTCAGTACACGTTGGTAGAATTAGTTAGTAGAATTAGATCCAGCCATGCTGATCCATTTATAGTTCTCCAAGCATGCCAAGTTTTTCTCACCTTTCTGCCTTTGCATGTGCCATTTTCCCTGTCTGGAATTCCTTTCCTTTTTTCATTGCCTGACATACTCCTACCTATCTTTGAAATTGAACACAAATGTCACCTTTTCTAAAAAGCCTTTTCTTATCTCATCAAGCAGCTTGAAGTAGATCCTTCTTTATAATCCCACTTTCCTCCTCATTTATATCTCTATTACAAACACTACTATAACAACTTTTTTATTGTCTGTTTCTTCTGTGAACTGTGAGCCTGAGGAGGTAGGGACTTAGTATTGTGTATTTTAGTAGCCCTAACATCATAACACAATACTAATTAGTGCATAGGAGTTACCTAATGTGTGGCTAATAGAATCAATGAATGAATGCTTGCAAGGATAATTGGAAATAAGAAAAGTAGGAAATCACTTTTGTTTGAGATAGAGAGGGGCCTATGGAAGAGCCCTCAAGCTTGACATTGAAAGACTGGTTGGATTCAGATAGAAACAATAAAAAGGAAGATGGGGGACTTTTTAGATATGAGGAAAATGGAAAATGAGAGTCTGTACAGTGTATTTTAAACATGTAAATGAACTCTGCTGCATCGGAGGCGTTAACGCATGTGATTGGTGGAATATAAGACCTGGACCAAAAATTGGTTTTAGACTGTGGAGGATTTTGAAAATCAAATTAACATATTTGAGCTTTATTCTGCATATAGTGAGGATGTGAGATTTGGGGGAGGTTTTGTAGTTGTTATTTGTTTGTTTTTTAGCAGAACACTGTTTTGATGAAAGTGATGTTTTGGGAACATTAATCTTACATTGGTATGTGGGATAGGTTTGAGATAGGAGGAAGTAGTGGCAGGAATGGCAAACACACCTGCCCAGCTTGGTCAGAGAATGAGATTATTTTTATAGAATATTAAGATAAATGTGAACTAATACTTCTTTAAAAATACTAGACAAGGAAGTCACATTCAGAAAGTACTTCAGAATCTGTGGTATCTTTAGGCTTATCGTTGTAAGTATCACTTGTCATTGAACTGTTGATTTACAGAAGAACAGGTTAATAGAGAATTCTACTTACTAGGAAATTGGATAAACTGTTCTATATTTTATTTGAGTGTAGGTCCACCATTGTTCATAATCATGTAAAATTTTAGATTACATGTAGCTTATTAATTCAGTTTATCTTCTTCCTCTGTGCTGGAAGGAACTTTTTACAACTTCATCTCTGAGCTCACTTTTTTTTTAAACAAGCTCTGGAACTCAGCACTTCTCTCTGAATAATTTGGCAACATTGTCTTCTATTCTTCTGAACCATGTGAGATAGAGCCTAGTGGGATAAGTATATCTACAAATGACAGAAACAGGCTGAACAGAAGATAGATACACATATTTGAAACCTTCAGAGTTCTTTAGAATACTTTTTGTTTTTTCTTGTTACAGAGTCTCACTCTGTCACCCAGGCTGGAGTGCAGTGGCGTGAAGTCGGCTCACTGCAACCTCTGCCTCCCAGGTTCAAGCGATTTTCGTGCCTCAGCCTCCGGAGTAGCTGGAATTACAGGTGTGTGCTGCCACGCCTGGCCAATTTTTGCATTTTTAGTAGAGATGGGGTTTCACCATGTTGGCCAGGCTGGTCTCGAACTCCTGGCCTCAAGTGATCCTCCTACCTCAGCCTACCAAAGTGCTGGGATTACAGGCATGAGCCAACGCGCCCAGCCTAGAATACATTTTCTAACTTTGGATATTCCTGGACACACATTTGTGTGGCTAGTGCATGTGGTTAAGAAAAAGGGACTGTTCAGGAAAGATACTTGGGAGTGGGGAGAATTATCTACTGGGATGTACTTAGCATCATATCTTATTAAAATTCTTCTGGAAGGGCTTTTTTGTTACTTAGAATCTTATTTTAACATTAAGCTGATTTGATTTGGTTTGGACATTTCTATATTTTTTCCCTTTAGAAGTGATTTTTAAATAGCTATCACAAAGGTTGAGACTAATAAAAATTGCTTCCACTCTAACTCACCTTCAATTAATATGCAAAGAATATGTAACTGACAACATTGCAACCACAATTAGAGGACAGATATTCTCAAATGATGAAAATCCAGCATTTAGAATGAAGTTAATTTTTCCCAAACTTCCCTACCTGTAACATTCAAGGCATGGGTTTGCTTTTGCTTAGAAGAGTGGAGGAGGCTGGGCACAGTGGCTCATGCCTGTAATGCCAGCATTTTGGCAGGCTGAGGCGGGAGGATTGCTTGAGCTATGTGTGGTGGCATGCGCCTTTAGTCCTAGCTACTTGAGAGGCTGAGGTGGGAGGATCCCTGGAGCCTGGGAGGTTGAGGCTGCAGTAAGCTGGCATAGTGCCACTGCACTCCAGCCTGGTCAACAGAATGAGACTCTGCCTCTAAAAAAAGAAAAAAAAGAGCAGAGGCGGTTGTAATATAAACAAAATGTGGAGCTCTTTTCATGGTATTCACAGCAAGTTCAGGAATAGTCTCCTTGCAATGCAAGGAGTATTCATCTTTGTAAACTGCAGCCTGAATTAAGGGAAAAATCTCAGCTTGTTCCTTTCTCTGAATCATTATTATAAGGAAAAGGAGTTTAAGCTCCTAATGAAGTATCAAATCCCCTTTCATTGTACAATTTTGGATGATTGACTAAGGACTGGTTTTCTTTGCAAAGATCCCTAGGCCAGCATTCCCAAACTGTTAAGTAGGTGGACTGTGGAAAATGTGTTCTGTACTTAAATACTATTTGGAAAAACAGTTAAACATCGTTCTTTTCTGCAACACTTCTCAAACTAATATGCTTATAATGTATCTTCTGACTGTCCACAGAATTTCCCAAACACATTTGAGCACATATTGTCCCATCTCTTCCCACTCCTGACCTCACCAGCCCCTAGCATACGTATCACTCACAGGGTAAATGTGAAGTTTTAGGAAATGTTGCCGTCAGTACACAAACTTGCTAGATAAAATGGACCCAACTGGGATAGTCTTGAAAAATGTTTAACTTACTGAGACAGATGTGAAAGCCCATTGCCCTTCTAGTTCTGGGATGATTGATCATGATCACAGAGAGCTTGATTGAGAAAAAAGGAGAAGCCAAGTTTTAGTGGAATTTATTTAGAATGCACTAGAAGAGTAAAAACAGTTAACATTCATTACTAGGGCATAGTAGGGTGCCTTGAGAGGAGTCGTTTAAAAAAGTCTGAAGATTATGAACCCTGATTAGTGAATTAGCAAATATTTCATACGGTTAGTTCTTAGGATTAGATTTCAACACTTCAGTGCAAATTCTTCACACTTTTGTCATGTGAATGCAGTTTGAGAATGCATTTCAATTAGATCTGTAAGTTGTTGAATTATCTTTTATTCTTGAACTGGTGGAATAGACATGGTGCTTGCTTCAATTATCCGTTAACTCCAGTATTTCTCTAAATATTTGCTGTCCAATATTTTCTAATAAATTCCTTTAGGTGAATATGCAAAGATCACAAAAATGAATAGTCATTTATGAATTCCCTGTGAAGACAAAAGGATTCTTTGAGACAACAAAGCGATTTTTCGAGACAACAAAGTTTTGTTTCTCTGGAACCTAAATAAGCAGGATGCTTACAGTTTCTCGACATATTACATACTTTTTTCTTGAGAAAAATGTAAAAGATAAATAGGTGGGCATTTTTTATGAAATTATTAATATGGAAAACAAACATTAAAGGCATTTCATTAAGTAAGGGTAGATTTAGTCCAACTTCATAGACTTTCTAATAACTCTATACAACAAGCTTGTCCAACATGCAGCCCCGTGGGCTGTATGAGGCCCAACACAAGTTTGTAAACTTTCTTAAAACATTATGACATTTTTTTTTGTGCGATCGATTTTTTTTTTGTGCGACTTTTTTTTAAGCTCATCAGCGATTGTTAGTGTTAGTTTTATGTGTCGCCTAAGGCAATTCTTCTTCCAGTGTGACCTAGGGAAGCCAAAAGATTGAACACCCCTGCTCTACAAGATAATAGTTGGTGTTCCAAATGTTAGGCTACAGGTTTTATAGCTGCCCCAAAAATTAAGTAACAATGGCTTAACAAATCTTAAATTTGTTTCTCTCTGATATAACAGTCCAAACATAAATAGTCTAGGACTGATAATGTAGCTTTGTGGAGCCCTTGGGCCTTATTCTTTCCTATCCTCCTCCTTAATGGTTTCCATCTCATGGTCTAAGATGCCTGCTGTAGTACTTGCCAGTACATCCTCCTTCCAGCTAGCAGGGCAGAGTAAAAGAGAGAAGAAGCACTTTTTCTAAGGGTACACCTTGAAAGTTGTATATGTCTTTTCTATTCACATTCCACTGGTCAGAACCTTGTTACACAAGGGAGACTGGGAAATGTAGTCTTTGAGATTTCACAGACCATTAATAAAAATTGATCATGTAGTAAGCCTTAGAGAACACCTAAAAAAGTCATATCAGATATGTCCTGCTGAAACTTCTGTTGTGATAAAAGACACGCACACACACACATATGTGTATGTATATATTAATATATATATTTATAGGGAGAATAGAGGTATTTAGCAGGCTGTTATTAATTATTCTGATATGCTTTTCCAAATGCTGAAGTGTTTTCTATGTTTTCACGTAAATAATAGATTGTACTTTATAGAAATTACTTTTTAAGTATATTGTATTCTAGTTCTCTGTAAATGAGTAACTTATGGGTGTAAGAATTTTCAGTGTATGAAGCATTCAGTTCCCCAGGATGTCTGAATGTATATTGAGTTTTTAAATTGGTGATATGTATATGTGTATATGTGCACATATAGGAATATAATGAGATAATATTATTTGGCATGCAGATACTTGATGTACAGACTGTCTATCAAAAATGTAATAGCAAAGTAATGGTTTATTAAAATGAGCACTTTTGATTACAGTTGTTTTCCATGAAAGGGAAAAATGATGACTTAGTGATGCAGTGGTCCACTTAAATTGCAATATGATCTAGGAGATTTTAGGTCTTCTTCCCAAATTCTCAGTTTTAAAATTGTAAAGGTAATTGGTGTACTTATCTTATTGAAATAGAGGAAAATATGTATATTCAGCTATGTCCGTTCGTTTTTTTAGATCTCATATCTCTCGTATGTAAACACATACCTAGGAATTAGTTCCATTTAGTGTAATAATTTTTATAGGGAGTTCCAACTAAAATTAAATTTAGGAAATTTTAATTGCACCAATTGATTGATTGATTGAGATGGGGTTTCACTTTGTTTCCCAGGCTGGTCTCAATCTCCTGTGCTCAAGTGATTCTCCCATCTCAGCCTAGTAGCTGGGACTACAGGCATGCAAGCGCGTGCCTGGCCTAAGTGCATATAAAAATAAGGTTGTACATTTGGGAGATTTTATAGTTTAACAAGCACCTTTTCATGTATATGATATTATTTGATAGTATCTTAAGTATGTTTTAAATGATTCTTATTTTCTGATCTTTTCAAATTAATTTCTCTTTAGGCTTAAGCTAGATTTTACATACTTTGACATGCATTTTCTTTTTTGTTAACGCTGCATGAATAGCAAAGACATGAATTTTGTCATTCATCTCAAAGTATTATAATCAGAATTTTTTCTTTAATTAACAGCTTAATTTCCAGATATAATATTTTTAAAGCTCTCTTTTGGTTGTTGATTTTAATTTATTGCTCTATACTTTGTGTACAGAGTCTGTATTTCATTGATTTGGGAAGGTAATTGAAGTGTCTCTTTGGGCTATTATATGGTCAGTTTTTATGAATGTTCTGTGTAAGCTCAAAAAGAATATATTTTATGTTTATTGTGATGTCACATACGTCATATGATATCAGACTTTCAAAGTGGCATTTTTCAAATTTTGAGGTTTTTAAATTTTTTTTGTCATTTTCTGAAGGCTTGTTAACAACGTCTAATTAGAATTGTTAATCTCTTTTGCACACAGATTTTTAGTTGTTTTTTCTGCGTGTGTGTTTTTTTGGTGTTTTTGTGTTTCTTTTGTGTTTTTTGTGTTTTTTTGTGTTTTTGCACACAGATTTTTAGTTGTTGCTTATGTACATTGAGACTGTATATATGTGTATCTATACATAAGTTGTTGCTTATGTATGTTGAGGCTGTATATATGTGTATCTGTGTATATTCACATTTGCTTTTTTACCGGTATATGTTTCCATTTGTCTTTTATTGCCCTTGCCTTTGAATTTAAATTCTTTTGATACTATGGTGGGTTTATTTTGGTTCATATTTTTTAGGTACCTTTTTGTTTCTTTATTTTTTTCAGCTTTGCTGGATCCTGGTTTTATTTATTTATTTTGGATTTTTAACTTAATTTTTAAATTTAATTTTTATTTAGTTTTTAGCGATAGGGTCTGGCTCTGTTGCCTGGGCTGGAGTGCAGTGGTGCGATCATAGCTCACTGGAGCCCGAATCTCCTGGATTTAAGCAGTCCTTCCATGTTGGCCCCACAAAGCACTGGGATTACAGATGTGAGCCATTGTTCCTGGCCTGGATTGTTGTTTTACACTTAAACTGAGAATATGTCTTCTGAGTTTAACCTATTAGAATTTAATGTGATTATTTCTATGTTAGAACTTAGCTCTGCCATTTTATATCATATCCCTTCAGTGTCCAAGTTGAATCTTTCTCTTCTCCCTTCCTTGCCCAACAAATTCCAAGAAGTTTAGCATACTCTCCACACTGCACCCCTACTTTCTTGAAATAGGGTGATGTGATGTTTTAATTATTTATTCTTATGAATACACTTGTTTTAAGATAACAATACATCTTCTAAAATTTTTTCCTTCCCATATTTTGTTGTTTTCTTCTGGATATATTTCTTTTTTGACTAGATTACATTTTTCAAATGTTCTTTGAAAGAAGGTCTTTTTTTTGTGGTAAACATTGAGGCATTGTCTGCCTATAATATGTTTACCATTCACAATTAAGTGATAATTTACCTTGATTTAAAATTCTAAGCATGGATTTGTTTTTCTACCTCAATATTTTGAGGATAGGGTAATGTTTTATTGTCCTCTTCCTGTCCTGGTGGTGTTCTGAAATCTGGTATCAGTTTGACCCTGCTCTTTTTTAGGTGATGTTGCCCCTGCTCCTCTTGCTAGAAGCTTTTAAAATTTTGTCTTTGAAAGGCTTACATTTTACTCCAGTACATTTAGGTATGGACTTTTTTTTTTCCTTATCTTTTCTCCTTAGCACTTTAAGCCATTTCAATCTGAGATTTCATATTGTGAATTCTGCAAAATTCTGTCATTTTTTCAAATTCTTCTTCGTTTATTTTCTTTGCTTATAGAATTCCTTTTGGGTAGATATTTACACTAATACTACTTTCCCCACCATATTTTAACTAGCGCTTTATTCATCTTTTTGTCGCTTTCTGAGACCCTTTGGAACATTTCCTAGATTAATTCTTAAATCAACTCTGTTCATTTTCTTATTCAAACCATTTTAAAATTCTTCATTGCAATAATTATATATATTTTTACAGCCAATATTTTCTTTCTCTTAACTGCTTATTCCTGCTTTGTATTTCTGATATTTTTTCATGTCTGCCTGAGGCTATTTATTATGACTGTTTAAAGTTTTTTTTGATTAGTTCTGATTTTTCTTGAATGAGGTTATTTCTTGTCAGTATGTGTTTCCCTTTCCCATATTAATGCTTCTTAAATATCTCTTTAATTTTTCCCATTTGCTAAATCTTCTATAATCATAAAATGCTGGTATATTTAGAGAGTGAGAGATGGACATACACCGAGCTCAGCCATACTTGGTGTTTTTCTCACATGTGGCTCTCTCCTGTTTCTTAGGGACACTTGTCCGTAGGCACTGCTTACATAAGTAGGGCACCTCCCTCTCTGCTATCTTGTTTTAGTCTGGTATCTCACTGTCACTGCTGATTAGGTTCTACACTAAAGTAGTGATAGCATAGGCAATAATCTGCATAAGAAAATTCAGCCTAGTAAAAAGTATACCCAAGTAGAATTTTTAACCCTAGTTTATACTTCCCATCAGTGAGTAGACTCTGGCTTTCATGTGCTCTGTGCATCCCTAAAGATGCCCTACCATTATCAATGTCTTCAAGTGTTGTTGAACTGGTTTTTGAGATCCAGCAATGTTTATATTACCTCAGCGTCATCTGTAGAGTGGGATTCATAGGAATAAGCCAGCATACCAGCAGATGGTGCTAGTCTCTTAACTTTTCAGAAACCAAAACCTATATCTTACTTCTAAAGGTAATAGCTATAAATGATTAAATTTCTTTGGAATTCTCAGAACATCTTAGGGTATTAAAGTGGTTTTATGAAGAGATAAGAGAACAAGTTTATCTTTAACAATTTCTGTCTCTTTCCTCATGCATCAAATTGTGCTATTCTGGTTACAGTATATTTAAAAAACCTTTTGTGATAGAAATATAACTGACTTTTAAAGTATTGTGATCTATAACAGCTACTATTTATTGGGTGCTTATTGTGTCTTGGATACTGTGCTAAGTGTTTTATGTATGTAATGTTGGGATAAGACCAGGATTATTTCTCCAATGAGAAGTTTTAACTTAATAGGTTTATAAGAATTGTGTATTACTATTCTTCAAAACAAAAATTATGTTCAATATAGTTTAGTAATAGTAAATTCCATTAAAGTCATAAAATGTGAGGCAAGGTGCGGTGGCTCACGCCTGTAATCCCAGCACTTTGGGAGGCCAAGGCGGGTGGATCATGAGGTCAGGAGTTTGAGGCCAGCCTGGCCAACATAGTGAAACCCCGTCTCTACTAAAAATACAAAAAATTAGCCGGGCGTGGAGGCAGGCACCTGTAATCCCAGCTACCGGGGAGGTGGAGGCAGGAGAATCACTTGAACCCAGGAGGCGGAGGTTGCAGTGAGCCAAGACCGCTCCATTCCATTCCAGCCCAGGTGACAATGTGAGACTCAGACTCAAAAAAAAAAAAGGTCATAAAATGTTTTGCCTGTGGAAGAGGGAAATAATTGGAGGAGATTGTTACTGTTGTTATTGTTTTCAGACACAAAGTCTCTGTCACCCAGGCTGCAGCCTTGAACTCTGCTCAAGGGATCATCCCACCTCAGCCTCCTGAATAGCTGGGACTACAAAAAAAAAAAAATTTTTTTTAAAATTTTTTTGTAGACACAGGGCTTTTCTGTGTTGCTCAGACTAGTTTTCAGCTCCTGGCCTCAAGCGATGCCGCCACCTTGGCCTCCCAAAATGTTGGGATTACAGGTGTGAGCCACTGTGCCTGGCTGATTGTTATTGTTGAGGGAACTGAGACCTAGAGAATTTGCAATTTTTATATCGTTAATGGTTTTTGTTTGTTTTTTGGTTTCAGTGTTATGTTTGGGATGATTATACAGAGCCATTTAATTTTTAGAGTATTTAATATTTATAGAAAATTGCAAATAGAAAGGATCACTGAAAAGCTGTTTATTCATTGTGTGCTTGTATGTTTTATATTCAGATGTAAAAACAGAAAATAAATGAGAAATAATTCCTGCTTCCTTAAGCAGTTTATGTGATCACCATTTCTCAACTAGTTTTTTTTTAATATTAGACTTATCTATGGACGTAACTACTTTTTCATTTAAGACTAGTACACTTAACTATTAAAATTATTTTAGTAATTAACCTTTATTTTTTATTACATAAAAAAGGCAAATTTTCTACCCTTATCTTTTGCTTCCTGATTATAGTTATACTTGGTGGTGGAACTCGAAACAGTGATTGTGTGAAAGAACACAGATTAGAAAATTGCTAACTCTATGTTGTTGGAGTTGTTTTTTTTGCTTGACATTACTTAAGTAGTGAAATCATTCCCCCCTTTTTATTAAATATAATTTACACACAGTAAAATTCACCCATTTTAGTACTGCCTTGCAAGTTTTGACACATGCAAACAGTTGTGTAAGAACCACCAAAATGAAGATGTAGAACAGTTGTGTTACCCCTCACATTCTTCTGTCCCTTGTAGTCAGTCCAGCTCTCCATCTTCAGTCTCTGGCAACCGCTAATCTGTTTTATACCCTTACAAATGTGCTTTTTCAAGAATGTGATATAAATGAAATAATACTGTATGAAGCCTTTTAAGCCTGGCTTCTTTTTCTTAGTACAGTACATCTGAGATTTATACATAGTGCCTCTATCAGAATTCATTCTTTTGTGTTGTTAAGTAGTGTTCTGTTGTGTGGATATACTGAAGATTCTTTATTCTTTTTTAGTTGATGAATAATTTGGTTGCTTCCAGTCTTTGGTGATTAAAAACACTATAAACATTCGCATATAAGTTTTTCAGAAATTTTCACTTAATTTGAGTAAATACCAAGGAGTAAAATTGCTGGGTTATACCTTAAATATTTATTTGATCTCATAAGAAACTGCTAAACTGTTTTTGAGAATGGCTGAACTATTTTGTGTTTCCATTAGCAATATGTGAGTTCCAGTTGTCCCTCAACCTTGCTAGCATTTGATATTGTTAATTTTTAAATTAATTTTAGCCATTCTAAAAGATGTGTAATAATATCTCATTGTTCTTTTAATTTACATTTCCCTAAATGACTAATGAATGTGAACATTTTTAATATATGTTTTTTTCCACTGTATATATTCTTTGGTGAAGTAACTAAGTATTTGATCTCATGCCCATTTCTTTATTGGGTTGTTTTCTTTTTCTTTTCTTTTTTTTTGAGACAAGGTCTCTCTCTGTCACACAGGCTGGAGTGCAGTGGCACAATCTTGGCTCATTGCAGCCTCGACTCCTGTGCTCAAGTGATCCTCCCATGATAGCCTCTCAAGTAGCTGGGACTGCAGGCACACGCCACCAATCCTGGCTAATTAAAAAGTAAACTATTTGTAGAGATGGTGTCTCATCATGTTGCTCAGGCTGGTCTTGAATTCCTGGGCTCAAGTGATCCTCCTGCCTTAGCCTCCTAAAGTGTTGGAATTAGAGGTTTGAACTACTGAACCTGGCCTCGGTTTTTTTTTTTTTTTAATTGAATTTTGTGAGTTCTTCAAAATATTCTGGGTAGAAGTCCTTCATCAAGTATGTGATTCGCAGATATTTTCACATAAACTGTGATTTGTCTTTTTATTCTCTCTTCAGTAAGCATTATTGAGATATATAATTGATGTACAGTAAACTGAAAATGTTCTTTGTACAGTTTAGCTTTTTGAATTGTATAAAGTATACAATTTGGTAGGTTTCGACATGTGTATCCTGTGAAACTATTAACACAGTCAAGCTATGAATGTGAACATATTCATCACCCTCAAAAGTCTTTTCTTGCCCCTTTTTAACCTCTGGCTATCCCCAGGCAACCACTAATTTGTTAGTTTATTTTCATAACAAATTAGTTTGCATTTTCTAGGATTTTATATAAATGAAATCATACAATTTGTACTCTTTTAGTCAACAAAATTATTTTGAAATTGATCCATGTTGTTTCATATAGCAAAGTTCATTTTTATTTTATTGCTGAGTAGTATTCTATTGTATTGATACACCATAATTTGTTTAGGTATCCACTTCTTGATAGGCATGTGAGTTATTTCCAATTTTTGGTTGTTACAAATAAGACCACAATGAACATATTGTTTTATGTTATATATTGGATATGTTAGGCATATATTTAACTTTTTTTTTTTTTGAGACAGAGTCTTGCTCTGTCACCAAGACTGGAGTGCAGTGGCGCAATCTCGGCTCACTGCAACCTCTGCTTCCCAGGTTCAAGCGATTCTCCTGCCTCAGCCTCCTGAGTAGGTGGGATTACAGGCGCCCACCACCACACCCGACTAATTTTTCTATTTTTTAGTAGAGATGGGTTTCATTATATTGGCCGAGCTGGTCTTGAACTCCTGACCTCAAGTGATCTGCCTGCCTTGGCCTCCCAAAGTGTTGGGATTACAGGCATGAGCCACCCCACCTGGCCAAGTGGATTATATTCTTGAAAATGATGGAGAGTAGATTTTTTATTTTATTTATTTATTTATTTTGAGACAGAATCTTGCTCTGTCACCCTGGCTGGAGTGCAGTGGCGCAATCTTGGCTCACTGCAAGCTCCGCCTCCTGGGTTCATGCCCTTCTCCTGCCTCAGCCTCCCGAGTAGCTGGGACTACAGGCACCCACCACCACACCTGGCTAATTTTTTGTATTTTTTAGTAGGGACAGGGTTTCACCGTGTTAGCCAGGATGGTCTCGATCTCCTGACCTTGTGATCCGCCCACCTCGGCCTCCCAGAGTGCTGGGATTACAGGCGTGAGCCACCGCGCCCAGCCGGCATATATTTAATTTTTAAAGAAGTAGCTTGTAATCCTAGCTACTTGGGAGGCTGAGGCAGGAGAATCACTTGAACCTGGGAGGCAGAGATTGCGGTGAGCCAAGATCGCGCCATTGCACTCCAGCCTGGGCAACAAGAGCGAAACTCTGTCTCAAAACAAAACAAAAAACAACAACAATAACAAACATTTTACATTCTCACCAGCAATGTTTGAAAGTTCTGGTTGATCCATGTTGTCACTCAACATGGCCAATCTATTTTTTGCCATCCTCATAGGTGTGTAGTGATATCTTACTGTGGCTAGAATTTGCTTTTCCTTAATGACTAATCATATTGAGTACTGTTATATTCTTATTTGCATTTTTTATATATTCTTTGGTGAAGAGCCTGTTCAAGTCTTTTGTGCACCTTTGAAATTGAGTTGTTTTCCTTGTATTCAATTTTGGAGTCCTTTATGTATTCTGAATATTACCCAATAAGTGATTTGCAAATATTTTCTCTCAGTCTATGGCTTGTGCTTTCATTTTCTCGTGAAAAAAGGAAGAATTTTTAGTTTTTATAAAGTTGTTTTTTTTCAATTTTTTTTCTTTCAAGATTCATGCTTTTAGTTACTTACATGGTTACTTGGAAATAAAAATATTTTCCATGCTTTGAATAATCCTGTAAGTGAGGAAATAAATCTCTGAAGACTGGGCAGGAATGGCAGGTCACCACAAATAGCAACAAACTTAAGCTGGGTGGAGTGGCAGGGGCCTGTAATCCCAGCTCCTTGGGAGGTGGAGGCAGGAGGATCACTTGAGCCTAGGAGTTGGAGATTAGCTTGGGCAATATAGCAAGACTCTGTTTCTTGAAACAAAACAAAACAAAACTCTCAGTTCTGGGGAGAACGATGGTGTGTGGTATGGGATGTATCTGTGGAACTATAGTTTGTACATCTTCCTTGTTGAAGGTATGAGGAAAAAAATCTACTTCACACTGTTGCTGGTAGTTATCTCTGATTGTGGAAGAGGAATGCAGTGAAGGAGATGCAATAAGAAATCATTAAGAGACATTTGAGCTATACATTTAGTTGGGACAGTGCACTTTCAACAGGACAGCATGAGTCTTTCTGTAGACCCACTTTCCGGTGAAACTGGAAAAAGCAGTCATTTGGTCTCGAAAAATGGTCCTAAGAACATATAGCAAATGAAAAGACATTTATTCAAGAATATCTACTAAAACTTGGTAAGAACATTGAATTTCTGTGGTATTGAACCAAGACCCACTCCTTTTCCTCTTTCCCAGCTTGCTGAGATAGAAACTTCACTCCAGACTGGTGCAGCCAAGAACACAAGATTACCTGTTCCTTTATTTCCTAGTTGGAGGGTATCTTTCTCAAAGGAATAGGATATCAAGATTTTTTTTTTTAGTGGCCTGTTGGTGAGGTCAAGTTCTGGATGAGTGGGGCTGAGAGGCAGGAACTATTTCTTACTCATGGTACAGAGGCTGTACCTGTGTACAGTACCACTGAGAATACTGAAGGCACAGTCACCCATGCCCCAGCTTGTAATCCAGCAGTTCCACATTGGGAGAGGCAAGTTGAGACCCGAGGCTGTTGCCCCAACTCCACAAAGTGTTTTTGTCCTCTAGCTGGGTTGTCATTCAAAGAGAAGTGCACCATTGTTCCCCAGCTCCAGAGATAGAGACTTGCCTAGGGGGAGAAGTATGCTGTAAGACAGAGTTCTAAATCTCTTTCTAAAGCAACTAACTTCATTTGCTGGGGAGAAGTTCAGGCCTAAGAGTATTCAAAAACAGGAGGGTGCGGTGAGAGACAGTTAGGAGGAGATTGGTAGGTGCAGTGGAGATAAATAAACTGTAGAAGGGCTAGTTTGCTGGAGAGAACCAGGGAAATGAAGAGCTGGGAGGAGTCTTTTTGGGGTCAGAACAAATCTCAAACATTGGCCCCCGAAACTATTCCTTTAAAGGAACCCAGATTTGTTTTGATTGACCTGTGAAGCAATTTATGCTTCAGCACATTGTTGAAAACAATGGAGTAATCAGCCAGCAATTGGTGATGCCTAACAACTGGATGTGGTCAAAGAAAGAGGAAAAGAGTGCCCTGCCAAAACCACTGTCATTTCATGGTGACTTTGGGACTATCCAAGGCTGTGCCTCCTGAGGAGGAACATGAGGGGCTTCACACAGAGGGGAGATTGGGAGAAATATGCTTCACTAAAACAATCCAGCCAGTGACTAAAGAAATAACAGTAACATACCCCAGAGTGGGGCAATCAATATCCAGAGTGGCTATAATATATAAAATGGTCAGTTCCCAACAAAAAATTGTGAGATATGTAAAGAACATCAAAGAATGAGCTATACACCAGAAAAAAAGCAGGCAACAGAAACTGCCTGTAAAAGTGACCAGATTTTGGAATTAACTTCAAATAGCCATTGTAAATATGTTCAGAGAAGTAAATAAAATCACTATTAAGTAAAGCAATGTATGGTGACAATTTTTTATCAAATAGAGAATGTCAATAAAGATACAGAATTATTAAAAAGAACTAAGTGGGATTCTATAATTGAAAAATATTAAGGCTGAAATGAAGAGTTCACTAGAGGGACTGAGTCACAGATTTGTACTGGCAGAAGACAGAATTAGTTAATTTAAAGATAGATCAACAGAGATTATGCAGTGTGAAGAGAAAAAAAGCATGGAGAATAATCAACAGAACCTCATAGAAATGTGGGACGCCATGAAGTGTACCAACGTACACATAATGGTAGGACCAGGAGAGAACAGAAAAGAACAGAAAATGGAAGAAGGACTGAACATTTTTCTTTCATTGCCAAATTTATTCACAAGTTTATTGAAAAACATTAATCTATATGTCTTGGACCCTCAGTGAACTCCAAGTGAATAAATGCAGAGAGATTCACAGACACATCATGGCATAGGTTAAGGATAAGGAGGAAATCTTGAGAGCAGCAACATAAAAACATGTCATCACTTACAAGTGAACCCCAATAAAATTAATAACTGCCTTCTTATCAGAAAGAATGGAGGCCAGAATGCAGTGGGATAAGATCAAGGGCTTAAAGGGGAAAAAACCAAACAAACCTGTCAACCAAGAATTCTGTATTCAGGAAATCTGTCTTTGAAAAATAAAGGCAAGGCCGGGCGCGGTGGCTCACACCTGTAATCCTACCACTTTGGGAGGCTGAGACGGGTAGATCACGAGGTCAGGAGATCGAGACCATCCTGGCTAACACAGTGAAACCCCATCTCTACTAAAAATACAAAAAGTAGCCGGGAGTGGTGGTGGGCGCCTGTAGTCCCAGCTACCCGGGAGGCTGAGGCAGGAGAATGGCGTGAATACGGGAGGCAGAGATTGCAGTGAGCCGAGATCGTGCCACTGCACTCCAGCCTGGGCGACAGAGCGAGACTCCATCTCAAAAAAAAAAACAAAAAACAAGAAGGCAAAACAAAAATATTCCCAGACAGATAAACAAAACTCAGAGAATTTGTTGCTAGCAGTCATGCCTTACAATGACACAGGATTTTTTTTGGCCCCTTTGCCAGGGTCACAGCAGGGGGGCACCCTGTCTACTTGTCCCACCTGGGCTAAGTCTGACTTGTGCACCAGCACAGCCTGCAGCTAGACCAGGGGTGTCCCAGCTCACCTGTGCTATAGCTTGTACCCACATTCAGTGGTTCCCAAGCTCTTGTCCCCCATCCGAGAAGAATGGGGATACACTGACAGTTGAAGAGTGAGGAAGGCGGAGAATAATTTTATTGAATGACAGAACAGCTCTCACCAAAGAGAGGACACGGAAGTGGTCCCTCTCTCAGTGTGGCTGAGTCCAGGGTTTTTATGGCCTCAGAATAGGGGAGTGTGTGCTGATTGGTTTCCTAGTATGCAGAGAAAGGCTAAAGCAGAGGCACCACTCAGAGGTGGGCACAGCAGGGTAGAAAACCAATTAGGAAAGAGTAGGTGTATGTAAAATAGTTGAAGGGTAGAGATCAATCAGAGAAAAGTGCACCAAATGGGAAGACAGGTTCTCAATCCAGTCCATGGATTTGACTTGTAGCTTGGCTTTCAGGCTTTAAACTTTCTTTGGCTTGGGAGTGGGGTTTCACCAGGGAACCATCCCTATCTGCCTGGCATTTGACTGCCTCCTGTCACTACCAATAAGAAGTACTAAAGGAAGTTACTTGGACTGAAAGCCGGCGATCCCACATAGTAATTTAAATCCACACACACAAAATTGACAAAAAGCACCACCAGCGAAGGTAATTATATAATTATAAAAGATAGTATAAATGCATATTTCTTTTCCATTTCTTAATTGATTTAAAAAGCAGGCTGGGCGCAGTGGTGAAACCCCATCTCTACTAAAAATACAAAAATTACCCGGGCGTGGTGGCTCACGCCTGTGATCCCAACTACTCAGGAGGCTGAGGCAGGAGAATCGCTTGAGCCCGGGAGGCGGAGGTTGCAGTCAGCTGAGATCGTGCCACTGCACTCCACCTGGGCAACAGATTGAGAGTCCATGTCAAAAAAAAAAAAAAAAAGCAATTGTGGGCTGGGTATGGTGGCTGAAACCTGAAATCCCAGTACCTTGGGAAGTTGAGGCAGGTAGATCACCAGAGGCCAGGAGTTTGAGAGCAGCCTGGGCAACATAGTAAGACTCTGTTTTTACAAAAAAAAAAAAAAATTTAAAACTAGTTAGCCACAGTGTTGCATGCCTGTAGTCCTAGCTGCTTGGTAGGCTGAGGTGGGAGGATTGCTTGAGCTCAGGAGTTTGAGGCTGCAGTGAGCTATGATTGTACCACTGTACGCTAGCCTGGGCAACAGAGCCAGACCCTGTCTTAAAGAGCAAATGTGTAAAACTATATATATATATATATAGTCTTTGGGACCATATACATTAAAATGCAATATATTTGCCAGTTACAGTGTGAGGAAAATTTGTTGGCACAAAACTACTTAACTGAGGAAATGACTCTTGATGGTAATTTGAAGCCACGGGAACAAGGAGAACCAGAAACAGTAAAAAAGAGCAAACTCCCTTTGCTCTTTTTATTCTCTCAGCTTTTAAAAAAGTTGTAAAATTATGTAAAGTAATAACTATAACAAGTATTGTTCAGCTTATAACATTTATAGATGTATAAAACAGTGATATCACAAAAAGGAGGAAAAGGAAATAGAGCTATATAGGAGTAACATCTTCACATCTCAGTGTGATTAAGTTAGCATAAATCTGAAGCTGGATCTGATAAGATGTATATGGGAAGCCCTAGAGCAAACATGAAGGAAAATCAATGACAAAATGCTACATTAGGAAATATTGATGTAATGCAAAAAGAAAGCAATAAAGAAGGAGGAATGGAGAAACAAAAACATGAGATACACACAGAACAAAAAGTAGATTAGCAGGTCAAAATCTAGTTATATCAATAATGACAATTAATGTAAATGGATCAAACAGTCAATTCAGAAGTTAGAATCCAGGTGTGGTAAAGTACACCTGTAGTCCTAGCTACTCAGGAGGCTGAGATGGGAGGATTGCTTGAGCCCAGTAGTTAAGAGCCAGATTGGGTAACATAGCAAGACCCTGTTTACAAAAATTTTAAAAAGGCAGAGACTGGAGATTGTCAGACTGGATAAAAAATACAGAACTCAACTCTATGCTCTCTACAGGAGACACACTTCAGATTCAAATATATGGATTGAAAATAAAAGGATGACAAAAGATTTATTATGCAAATTATAACCATAAGAAAGCTGGAGTGGCTATATTAATATCAGGCAAAATAGATTTTAAAACAAAAAAAAGTTACTGAAGCTAAAAAGGGACATTTTATATTCATAAAAAAATTGCAGTTCATTAAGAAGACATAATAATTGTAAATTGTGAATATCTGCATCTAACAACAAAGCTCCAAAATAGTATGAAGCAAAAACTGATAAAGGGAGAAAGAGGCAATTTAAAAATAATGGTTGCAGACTTTAATACCCCTCTTTCATTAACGGATAGAACAACTTGGCAGATGATCAACAAGGAAATATAAGACTTGAACAGCATTGTAAGTCAACCAGACCAAACAGACACTATCCAAGAGTAGCAGAACACTATCCAACAGTAGCAGAATATGGATTTTTCTGTAGTGCAAACGGAATATTCTCTAGGAAACACCATATGCAACACTGTAAAAGAAACCTTATTACATTTAAAAAGAAATAATACAAAGCATGTTTTCAAAGCACAATAGAATGAAATGAGCAACCAACAGAAAGAAATTTGGGAAACTTAAAAATATGTAGAAATGGAACATGTTCCTAAAGTAACTAGTGAGTGAAAGAAGAAATCAGAAGTAAAGTTGGAAAATACTATGAGATTAATGAAAATGAAGAAATAATATACTAAACTTATGGGTGCAGTTAAGGTAGTGCTTAGAGGAAAATCTGTAATTGTAAATGTCTATTAAAAAAGAAGAAAAATCTCAAATTGATACAGCCGTCTACCTTAAGACACTGAAAAAAGAGCAAACCTAAACCTAAAGCAAGCAGAGAAAGGAGATAATGAAGGTTCAAGAAGAAATTAATGAAATAAAAGAAAAACTAGTTAAATCAAAATTAGTTAAATCAAAAGCTGGGTCTTTGAAAATATCAACAATTTTGCCAAAATATTTAGCTAGATTGTCTAAGAAAAAACAAAACACAGATTACTAGAATTAGAAATGAAAGAGGAGACACTGCTACCAATCTTACAGAAATAAAAAGGAGTGTAAAGGAATAGTAGCAGCTGTATGCCAATAAATTAAATAACTTAGATGAGATGGACAACTTTCTAGAAAGATACAAACTACCAAAATTGACTTAAAAAAAAAAGACAATGTAAATAGACCTATAACAAATAAAGAGATTGAGTTAATTATTATTTTTTTAAGAAGCCACCTACAAGGTAAAGCAAAGGCCCAGATGGTTTAACTAGGGAATTCTGCCAAACATTGAAAGGAAAATTAGTACAGATTCTTCACCAACTTTTGCAAGAAATAGACTTAGTTGGGGACAGATGTACCTTCTTACAGCAGTTGGTGTGGGAATGGGTAACCAGAGCACTAGGGAAATAGCAGTAAGTTATTTATCTTCCCCTGTGACTGGAGATTAAGATCCTTGCTTTGAGTGGAAACTTTTTTTTCATATATAGTAGCTTCCTGCATTCAATTATCTTGTAACTAGTTTATAAAACTTTTAACTTCCTTAAAAGACATTGTATTGCCTGAGTGAGGGAAACCTTTTGAAGGCAGATTATTGATTATTGAATCCGAATTTATTTAAAAATTTTAAATAAAATGTTTAAAGTGTGTTTATAAGATTATACCAAATACTAGTTGTATTTCTAGGTTCTAATATAATAATGTTAATTTAAAGACATTACTAAATTACTTATATTCAGGTTTTTAGTTAACCTAATTTTTAGTGTGAAGGTCTGTTACAAGAATAAAGGACCCTTACATGTTCCTTGAATCATTTGGTGTAAACTTAAAGAGTATAAGCTGGGGCTGAATTGGCTGATTTTTAAAAATCACTTTTCCCTGGAAACTTGTTTATCATACCTGTCAAAGATCATTTGTATGCGTCTCACTTGAGTATTAGAGATCTTTGAGGTTGGTAGGTCAACTTTTAGCATCTTTTTCCCCTTTATGTGTATGTATGCATGTGTGTACATGTTTGTGTGTTGTGTTTAATATGAATTGTGGCATACTTTTTTACCATTTGGGATATAAATTATGGCTTCCCATGAGCGTCCCAATATGCAGCACTGGTGGGACTCTAAGAGACGATTCCTCCCTCCAAAGTTTCTAAACGTTTTTGTTAACTATTACAGGAAGTGAGTTCAGACTCCTGTTACTGCCAACACACTAGGCAGCCATGTACACATACAAAATGATAATAATAGTGGCTAACATTTGTTGAATGCTTGAGTTTTATGAGGCATTGTGGCCAGATAATTGTTCCATCCAAAACTTAGATTATTTGTAAACATTTTCAATTTACTGCTGTTCTTGATTTTGAGCTACGGCAGTAGTTCTCCATAAGGGGTAGTTTTGCTTCACAGAGAACATTGGGCAATGTCTGGAGATATTTTTGATTGTCATAGCTGGGGAGTGCTGCTGGCATTTAGTGAATAGTGGCTAGGGATACTGCTGAATAATGTATAATGCTCAGGATGGTCCCCCCATAAAGAAGAATTATCCAGCCTGAAATGTTAATAGTGCTGAGGATGAGAAACCCTGGCCTGGAGTGATTGTGCGTTCATCCTATGAGCCATGATTCTTGCAGGTTTGAGGGAAAATGATGCTTTCTTTTAGTGTTTGGTTGAACTATATTTTCATGCTAGTACTTTAGGACGTAAGCTGACAACCAGAATGTCTAGCTCCAGAAAGTTTGCAGTGTTTGCCATCTCAGAGAAAACCTAGAACTATTTTTGGATCATTGCCCTCTATGCCTGACAGAGTCTTCCAGAATGTCTATTTCTATGTGCAATAGGGATTTTATCTAAGAGGCTTCATTGCTCTTTTATGCCCTTGGGTTTTGGTTAGGGCATCCTTATCACATCCAATAAGACTCCATCTGAATCCAGGTGAGAAAAGAATTTTAAGTTTTCAAATTTTTTCTCTCTCAGAAGTTTCTGGATTCTTTTTTGAAAATTTATTCATTACTGTTCTTACAATTTGATGCGTTACTAGTTTCATGGAAGGGAGAATAACATTACAAAGCATTTTAAAGCTTTGCTATATTGGAACTGTCTGTTTTAAGGCAGGAGAAACATTAACTCATTAGCTCAGCCAATGTCATATGAGCTAAGTAGTTTGGTGAAGTCATGATTCCACTTTAGGTATGCTCTAAAATAAAGGCATACTGTGTTAATTTTACTGCCAGATGGATGCAAATAGAATTTAGTTTAAATATATTAAGGAACTAATCTTTTCATTTTATAAGTTATTCAGGATCATACTTTTTTCTGCTTTAAGTACTTTATTGCTGTTGCTTATCTTAGTAATTTCTAGCTGGTAAACTTAACCTTTCGAAGAATGTTTTAACCTACGTTGTTGTAATAATTGGTGAAAATCCGGTGGTACCATATTTCTCTGAAATAATTTACTTCCAGTAACTAATTAATACAATGTTAGGCAAGAGAGTATTTGCTTACATATATTTAGATATGTGTTTCTAATTAGAGAACTTTTGACATGTTACAATTTTTATTTCAGGCAGTATACTTCATGAGACTCTACAGCAGTGATTCTCTAACTGAGGTTCCCCAGACCAGCCGGATCGGCATCATCTGGGAGCTTGTTAGAAATGCAAATATTCAGACCTACTCAGTCAGAAACTCTGGGGTTAGGGCCAAGCAGTCTGTTTTTAACAGGTCCTCCAGGTGATTCTGAACCTTGCTAAAGTTTAGGAACTGCTCTACAGAGAGTGACTTGTTGAAATAAGTTCACTTGATTTTAATCCAGTATATTTGTCTTGTTCTCCTTTTGTTCAAACTACCACATTTTAAACTTGTATTACTTGTGGGAAGATAAACTGTCCAAATTTCTGGCTGAACTCAAATAGCTCACATGAAGCGTTTAAAGAAAGACAGTTTGAGAAATATTATTTCAAGGGTCAGGATAGGTGTTTATATAAATCACTATTTTAAAAAAGCCCTCAAAATATTTAATTTAAAATCCTGTACTGTGGGAGTATGATTGTTTGGTACTGAGGAGCTGCTGAGTTAAACAGATTCCTGAGACATGAAATCAAAGGATTTTTTTAAAAATTCACATGCTTCTATAGAAACTTTAAAAATCGAGGCTGGGCATGGTGGATCATGCCTATAATCCCAGCACTTTGGGAGGCCAAGGCGGACAGATCGTTTGAGCCCAGGAGTTCGAGACCAGCCTGGGCAACATAGTGAGATTCCGGCTTTTTTTTTTTTTTTTTTTTTGAGACAGTCTTGCGGGGTCGTCCAGGCTAGAGTACAGCGCCGTGATCTCGGCTCACTGCAACCTCTGCCTCCCAGGTTCAAGCAATTCTTGTGCCTCAGCCTCCCAAGTAGCTGGGGTTACAGGCACACACCACCATGCCCAGCTAATTTATGTGGTTTTTTTTTTTAAAGTAGAGATGGGGTTTTGCCATGTTGGCCAGGCTGGTCTCAAACTCCTGGCCTCAAGTGATCCACCTGCCTCGGCTTCCCAAAGTGCTGGGATTACAGACGTGACCCATTGTGCCCAACCTCCATCTCTATTTTTTAAATAAGATATTTTATATAAAAAAGGAAACTTTAAAAATGGAAATTAGGATGATAATATATAAGAAGAGGTAGTATGCTGAAAACTGCAATTATTTAAAGAAAAGAAGTCTAAAAATATATTCTAAAAGTTCATAGTATAGTATATATTGTATAGAGATGTTCTTTTAAATAGTGGTAGAAAAGAATTCCAGATTTGGATGCTTATAATAGTACTGTTAGTCTATTTGAGAATTTAATTGTAGTGTAATAAGTATTAATGCTCTAATTAATGTGTTCATAATGACTGAATTGCCATTGAGATGATAGTGTATTGTGTATAATATATAGAAGATACAATCACATTAAATGTACAGAGCTGTGCTATTATCTATAGCTTGCAAATCTTTGGGCCTTTCTTCTTAATAATGCACAAGCAGTACATTAATATTGAGATACTTCAACTGGTGACCTTAATTTTTCTCCGTGTAAGTCAAATTTTTTATATGCAGGTTATACTACTAAAGTCTTAACTTGAGTCTATCCCTAATTATCTTTCAATATAGGTGCTACATATTTTATTCTTGCTGGTAAACTAATTTTTATTTTATGTTAGTTTAGCTTATTATACATTAGCCTTTCTTAGCGTTGTCGTAGATTATAGGGACTAAGTACAGGGACTGTTGTCTTTAAAGTTTATATTTTTTATATAAATATATATTTTATTTTTTTATATAAATATATATTTTATATTTTATAAAGTTTATATTATACTCAACAAGTAGAATTTTAACAAACTGGACTATTTAGTAATTTTACTAATAAGAATGGTTAAAACCGGCCAGGCCCAGTGGCTCACGCCTGTAATCCCAGCACTTTGGGAGGCTGAGGCAGGTGGATCATCTGAGGTCAGGAGTTCTAGACCAGCCTGGCCAACATGGTGAAACCCTGTCTCTACTAAAAATACAAAAATTAGCCGGGTGTGGTGGCAGGCGCCCATAATCTCAGCTTCTCAGGGGGGCCGGGGCAGTGGAATCGCTTGAACCCGGGAGGCAGAGTTGCAGTGAGCCGAGATTGCGCCATTGCGCTCCAGCCTGGGGGACAAGAGCGAGACTTCTCCAAAAAAAAAAGAATGCTTAAAAGCCCAGTTTATATGTGTTCCCCCCCCAACCCGCAAGAAAATGCCTTATTATAGATCTAGGATATAGATGGCAGAGTAGAGGTAACCTCTTATGGTGTTAATTTGCTATTTTTCACTTCCAACTTCAGGGTATCTAACCTCATCATAACTCTGGGTAGAGGCCAGGAATATATACATTTCGTGTAAAAAAGAATATTCATAAGTTGAATGTATGTTAGTACTTAGTGCTGTTTTTGATATTTGTGTGTATATAGATAGGTAGAGAAGGCAGAGAGAGAAGTAATAAAAGACTGCAGAGAGAGTAATAATAAGAAAAAGACTATAGGTCCTAGATAGATCTATATTTGCTCGGAAGTTATATACAGTGTATGTAGTTTACTACACAGTGTATTTACTTAGGTTAGTAAGAAAATCAGTGTTTTCAGAGTTTCTACTTAATTTTTATTTAAATTAATTTAAATTTTTAAATAAATGACGGTTCATTTACATATTAATTATACTTCAAAAATCATATAATATTTTATGTATTAATCTGAATTAAAATCTTTGGAAAATAATGGGCTGTTTTTCATCCTAAAGCTGATACTGGTTAATTATAGAAAATCTGGAAACATCTGAAAAAGTATCTGGAAGAAACTGTAAATCCCATGTGAACCTACCACTCAAAAATAATTACAATTAATATTTTGGTTTATTTCTTCCCAGTCTTTTAAAAAATAAATTTTTAAAATTGGCATCACTCATATCTTTATTAGTTTTTTAACCTATTATAAACAATAACTTTTCCATATCTTTAGTTTTTAGATAATTTTAATAACTTCATATTTGTGTCATAATTTTAACTTCTTTTTATTGTCATACATTTAAGTTACCCTTTTGCTTTAATGTTATAAATTTTGTGGTGAATCTTCTTGTTCATAAATGTATTTATAAATCTGTAAATCTTTTATCTGTGTCTGATTATTTCCTTTTATATTTCTAGAGGGGTAATTACTAAGTCAGGAAATATAAATGTTTTCAAGATTCTTAATGTATATTGCCAAGTAGCCATCCAGAAACACTGATCCAATTTAACATCCACTAGCAGTATGTAAAATGTCTATAAAATAATACTTTTGTCACCAGTTAGTATCATAATTGCATTTTAAAAATCTTTACTATTTCATTTGTGAAAAATTGTACTTTGTTCTGTCAAATATTGTCAAAATACTGAAAATGTTATTTTACATTATAGTTTTAAGTGGATTAATTGAACATTTAAAAAACATACCTGGACTTTATCAATTTAAATTAAAATGTAGTTTAGTAGAACATTGTCAACAGCCAGGAGATTTGGAAATATTTGGTCATTGTAATGGTAAGAGGATCCATTGGGAATCACCATTGATTAATAGACTTTCACTTGAACTTTAGGTCTTGCCTCTGATCATTATTTGGATTTTTAGAGTAATTCTCATTAGTTTTCTGTCATCTTTTAGTTTTGCCAAATCAAAACTTGGCAGTTTTATTAAAATAATAATTTATTCAATAATATTATTGAAATAAAGCAGCTTTAAAAGCAAGAGAAAATTCATACTGAGAAGTATTTTTCTATAGAAAAATAAATCCTTGCTCATTTATCAAATTTTAGGAATGGCTGTTATAATGTAGGAATGTAAGAGCGCTGCTTTGAAATTAGACTTTTTAGTAACTTATTAAGATTATGTCATTTGCTTACAATATTTATATTGGATAAATTGTCTAACTTCTAGGCCTCAGTTTCCTTATCTATTAAATAAGATTAAAAACAGTTTCTTACAAGGATTGTGAAAGTTAATACATGTAAAGTACTTACTTAGCAGATTGCCTAGTAGTTGGTAAATGCTAACTACATGCTGGTTATAGTTTAGCAGATTTTGATAGACTTATTCATTCAACAAGTATTTACTAACCACTTACAGTGTGCCACACACTTTGTAGACATTGCTGATACAAACTGACAATCATCTGATGGAACTTACACTGCAGTTAGGGATGAGGGGGTAGAATTTATCTTGAAAATTAAAATAACCATAAACAAGTGTTTAAAAACTTGGGATAAATGACTTCATGGGAATAAATGGCCTTATAGTTAAAGAATGACTTCTGCCTTTTGGGGGAGGAGTACTTTGCACTGTTTTTGTTTTCTGTATAAGTTTTATTCATATGAAAAGTGATGTGATTAGTATCTGCTTTTTTTCATTTGGGAAACTCAAGCTGATAGAAAATAAAGCATCTGATTTTTATATGGTAATACATGTTGGAATTAATGATACTATAATAATTTATCTGAGAAGGGAAGAAGGAATTGCTTTTTTGGTAACTAAACAGCAGAGTACATTTACATTTTAAAGTAAATTGATATAAATTATTATTATTATTATTATTTTTGGAGACGGAGTCTTGCTCTTATTGCCTAGGCTGGGGTGCAATGGCGTGATCTCGGCTCACTGCAACCTCTGCCTGCCGGGTTCAAGTGATTCTCCTGCCTCAGCCAACCTAGTCACTGGGATTACAGGTGCCTGCCACCACGCCTGGCTAATTTTTTGTATTTTTAGTAGTGATGGGGTTTCACTATGTTGGCCAGGCTGTTCTCGAACTCCTGACCTCAGGCGATCCACCTGCCTTAGCCTCCCAAAGTGCTGGGATTACAGGCGTGAGCCACTGCGCCCGGCTGAAATTATTTTCTTTGCTTAGCTGTTAAAATTGGCCTCCAAAATTAAAGAAAAATATAGCATTTACTTTTAAGAGTAATATTTGTTTTTAAAATTACTTATGAAGTAGTTTTCAATCTCACTAAATCCCCCACTCCCATAAAAACAGAGCTGAAAGAAATCATACTACTTATTTATGGCTGCATTACAAATTACCCTCAAACCCAGCACTTAAAACAACAAACATTTATTATCTTAAAGTTTCTGTGAGTTCTGAATCTGGGCACAATTTAGTTCTAGCTTAGACTCTAGCTAAGAGTCTGTCACTGTCAATCTGTTGCAATCAAGACTGCAGTCAATGGTTGGCCTGGGTTTCAGTCATCTCAAAGTTTGACTAGGGAGGAGTCTGCTTTCAAACTCACTCAGTGATTGTTGACAGAATTAATTTCCTTGTGGCCCATTGAAATGAGGGCATTGGCCAGGCACATCAAATTTTATCAATTGAGTACTCAGTACTTGCCTAGTATAACTAAACCCTTAAAATATAACATGTTGATTATGTTTTGGAATAAAGGTCAGATTATCATTGGTCATTACTTGCTAGCCTTCCGGTAAGTACCAAGTCTTACAAGAGTAATGGATATATTTTCGCCAAGTTGAGGAACCTCCACTTTTCTGTTATAATTTTTCTTGGAAGTACTTTACTTGGATTGGTTTGAAGGGCTTCACCATAACTCTGCTTTTCAGGCTTTTAAAAATGGAAGTGATTGTTGCTGACTGAATTTCCCAGGGCTGTATTTCACCAACTGCCTGTAAGATATGGATAGGTTTGTAGGTGGGAGTTTAAGGAAGGATTTGTGAATCTGACAAAAGCTGCTTATTGTATCCTATAGATTCACAATGCACATTAACATACTTTAAGTGCTCTTAGCTAAAGGAACCTGTTTAAACCCATATTTCTCAGAGTTAATTGGTATGGAATCCTTTTATGGTACAGTATCTATTAAGATTTTGAAGAACAAATATTTTGTGGGCCAGTTGTGGGAGAACAATTCTAGTACAAGATAAAACTTGCTGTTTCCTCAGTAACTGTTAAATGACCAGTAAAGGGGAGGTATAAAAAGTTAATATAAAAGTTATAGAGAATTAAGGGAAAAATTTGAGGATGAAGGAGGGACACTAGTAAGTTTTTTTTAAAAAAGAGAGTAGATTTAAAAAGATGACTTGTGAGAAGGGCTATAAATTGAAATTGTGGAATTGGATTTGGCACATGCTACAAAATTTTATAAAAATAGAATATTCACTAGCAAATGTGTCTAGAAACAAAGTAGAAAACACAAATATACAACATTAGGTGTCAGAAGAATACATAGCTATAAAAACGGAGGAGATTAAAAAAATGAGAAACCTGTAAAGTAAAACTAATACTAATAAATTTAAACATCTGAATCAAGCTGGGCACGGTGGCTCATGCCTGTAATCCCAGCACACTGGGAGGCCGAGGTGGATGGATCACCTGAGGTGAGGAGTTAAAGACCAGACTGGTCAACATGGTGAAAACCCGTCTCTACTGAAAATACAAAAATTAGGTGGGCATGTTGTCAGATGCCTGCAACCCCAGCTACTCAGGAGACTGGGGCAGGAGAATCACTTGAACCCGGGAGGTGGAGGTTGCAGTGAGCCGAGATCGCGCCATTACACTCCAGCCTGGGCGACAGAGCGAGACTCTGTCTCAAAAAAATTTTTTTGAATCAAAATTTAGTAATTTTAATGTGCTTGATGTCATATATACTAACAAGTGGCAGAACTAGGACTTGAACTAAAGTCCTTTTTGTCAACAGTGTCTGTAGGCTGACCTGTTGGGCTCTATTGTTTCCCTAATGAAGAGATAGGAAACCTCAGGGAAAAAAACTTAAGAAGTGAAAAATGGGCCGGGTGCGGTGGTTCATGCCTGTAATTCTAGCACTTTGGGAGGCTGAGGCGGGTAGATCACTTGAGCTCAGGAGTTCGAGACCAGCCTGGGCAACATGGCAAAGCCCTGTCTCTACTAAAAATGCAAAATAAATAAATAAATAAAAATTAGCCAGGGGTGGTCGTGCGCACCTGTAATCCCAACTACTGAACTACGGGGGAGGCTGAGGCACGAAAATTGCTTGAACCTGGGAGGCAGAGGTTGCAGTGAGCCAAGATCACGCCACTTTACTCCACCCTGGATGACAGAGTAAGACTCTGTCTCCAAAAAAAAAAGTGAAAAATGATTCTCATGATTGAAAAAAAAATCCAAAGCTTAGAAAAGGATGGAAAGTAGTCTGATTAATTTTGTAATAAAATCTGACCAAGATTATGTCAAAGTTTAATCTAGACCAGCCTTAATTATGACTATCAATAACTAAATATGAAATTAGCTAATTCAGCAGCACTACAGTGAAAAATATATCATAACATGTAGGGGGTTATGTTAGGATTATTGAAAATCAGGTGTGAAAAATTTTATGGTCATCTCAGTAAATGAGGAAAATAAATTGATAGAGTATTTAATCAGAAAACAAACATTATGCTCAATGGTGAAATGTTAGAGCAGTGGTCCCCAACCTTTTTGGCACCAGGGAACAGTTTTGTGGAAGACAGTTTTTCCACAGACTGTGGCAGGGGGATGGTTTCAGGATGATATTAAGTGCATTACGTTACATCATTAGATTCTCATAATGAGCATGGAACCTAAATCTTTTGCATGCGCAGTTCACAGTAGGGTTCACGCTCCTTTGAGAATCTAATGCCACTGCTGATCTGACAGGAGGTGGAGCGCAGTTTCGCTGGCTTGCCACTCACCTCCTGCTGTGCAGCCCGGTTCCTAACAGGTCAGTTAGTACCAGTCTGTTGAAATTGTGAACCATTGGCTAAATAAACTTATTTTCATTATAAATTACCCAATCTCAGGTGTTCTGTTTTAGCAACACTAAACAAAGACGAGAAAATTATCACTACTTTTAAGTTAAATAGGAAAGCAAAGAAACAATGGGAAAACTATTGGACCTAATGAGAGACTTCTATAAAGTGGACAGAATCCAAAAATATAAATATGCAAAAAAGTTTTTATTTAATTTTGTTTAGAATCAGGGTCTCACTGTGTTGCCTGGGCTGGAGTGCAGTGGCAAGATTGTAGCTCACTGTAGCCTCAAACTCCGGAGCTCAATCAGTCCTCCCACCTCAGCCTCCTGAGTAGCTGGGACTACAGGTGTGTGCTGCTGTACCTGGCTAATTTGTTTGTTTTATTTTTATTTTTATTTATTTAGTTATTTATTTTTAGAGATGAGGGTCTTGCTGTGTGGCCCAGACTGGTCTTGAACACCTGGCCCCAAGTGATCCTCCTGCTTCAGCCTCCTGAGTCTCTGGAATTACAGACACAAGTCACAGTATCCAGCCAAATATGCAAAACTTAGTATCTACTATTTTAAAATATGATACCAGCAATTCCAATTAAAATTAATAAAAAAAGATCCAACTTATAATAATATCTAAGAATAAACACAATGAGAAACATGTAAGACCTATATAAGAAAAACTTAAATGAAGCTGGGGGCGGTGGCCTGGGCAATGTGGTGAAACACCATCTCTACAAAAAATACAAAAATTAGCTGGGTATGGTCCCAGCTACTTTCAGGGGGCTGAGGCGGGAAGATCACTTGAGCCCAGGAGGAGGAGGTTGCACTGAGCCGAGATCGTGCTACTGCACTCCAGCCTGAGTGACAGAGTGAGACCTTGTCTCAAGAAAAGAAAAAATTGTGGAATATTTAGGTTTTGATTAATTCTTTGTAAGATGAGTATCTTTTGTATATATGTTTGTTTGATGGTTTTGTTTGTGATTGTAATATTCTTGACTAATTCCAGGCAGACCACATACGAAGAAAATATTATTTATATTTAAACTCCTGCCTTTCTATAGAGAGTCAGTTTACACACAAATATTACTTAATTCCCACAGTTGTTATTATCCATAATGTTATTCCTTTTTTCAGGTGGAGAAATTGTGGATTTAAAAGTTTGTGACTTGCCTAATACCACACAGCTCGTTAAGAAGCTAATACTTGGAGCCTTTATCTTTCTGTTATAATAAATTATGAATAAACAGCTGAAATCTGTATTAGACATAAGAAAGGAGAACCTTGTTCTAACCAGAGAATTTCCTATCAGCCTTTCAGGCGAAGAAGCCTCTCTTCTTATTTTCTTATATTCTCTTGCCAGAGTAGAGGTGATGGAAAATAAGGTAAAGATAGTAAATTATAGAGACAGGAGCACAGAGTGCCCTAAAGTTAAACAAGTTTGAATTCTGATTCTATCACTTAACTAGCTTTGGCCTCAGGTAAATTATTTACCTTCTTCAACCCTCAGTTTTCTACTTACTAAAAGGTTTTAGTAATACTTACCTCATAGTGTTTAATAATTGGTAACTAATATCATCATCATCATCTTTCATTATATTAAATGAGAGGATTCGGTTAGGATTGATGTTTTCCATAAGACGCACAGAAATCTTTGCCTCTCCTCCTGTGATCAGGGAGAATGATTTTACCTGCTGATTTATGTGGTAGTGAAAGAGCAATGAACTATGATTTAGAAGGCCTAAGTACAACGCCCCTGGGTTAGTGGAAAAAAAAACCTTACACAAGTTACTACAGGTTAAGTATCCCTAATCCGAAAAGCTCCAAAATTGGAAACTTTATGAATGCCAACATGACACTTAAAGGAAATGCTCATTGGAGTATTTTGAATTTTCAGATTAGAGAAGCTCAGTAGGTAAGCTTAATGCAAACATTCCCAAAAAAACACAAAAACACCCCCCCAAATCCAAAAAAATTCAAAATCTGAAATAGTTTTGGTCCTAAGCATTTTGGATAAGGAATACTCAACCTGTAGTACTTAGGTCTTATATTTTATTACCTTTAAAATAGAAATATCCTAAAAAAGATCCAGTGAAATAATAGATTTACTGTGTAGGGCAGTGGTCCCCAACCTCTGGGCCATGGACCAGTAGTGGTCTGTGGGAAAATTGTCTTCCATGAAACCATTCCCTGCTGTCAGAAATGTTGGGGACTGCTGATGTAGGCTATAGAGAGGGTCATATTTCAAAAAACCTTTATTTAATGCCCAATATTGAATAGCTCTGTGAAAGAATACTGTCAATCTCTAAGGGACTGAAAGTTACAGTCTTTTATATACTGTGATTCATATTTATAAATATAATTTTAACTGTACACATTTTTTATCTGCATATATAGCTTTTTTATTTCTGGTCTATCAATGAAAAACAAAGGTAGTAAGTCCTTTGATCCTTTTGGTTGCTTAAAGTAGAGGACAAATCTAGCCCAATGTTAAGAATCCTTAAGAAAACTACATAGAACAGAAAGGGTATGGATTTATCCTTATAAGTATGGTGACTAGTCTTTAAGCCAAAATTTGAAATACACATTCTGACATAATATGACAATATGATTTAATATTTGTAATCAGTATTGTCCTATAAAATATGAAAGCTATCACTGTAAATGTGGATGATATTAACAAGGATAGTGCTTTTCAGATCTTTTATTCTGTGGGACCTGTACAAGTTTGGAGAGTAGTTGTGTAAGGAAAGGACCTCTTTTGAAAGGGAGAAATTAGTATAGTTATGGAAAATAGTATGGAGGTTCCTCAAAAAATTGAAAATAGAACTACTGTGTGATCCAGCGATCCAACTACTGGATATATGTCCAAAGGGAAAGAAATCAGTATATTGAAGAGGTATCTGCATTTCCATGCTCAGTGTACCATTATTCACAATAGCCAAGATATGGAATTAACAACCCAAGTGTCCATTGACAGATGAGTGCACGGAGAAAATGTGATATATATGCACAGTGTAATACTATTCAGCCGTAAAAAAGAACAAAATCCTGTCATTTGCAACAGCATGGGTGATCCTGGAGGACGTTAAGTAAAATGAGTCAGGCACAGAAACACAAATACTGCATGAGCTCAATTATATGTGGAACCTAAAAAGGTCACACTCATAAAACAAAATAGAATGGTGATTTCCAGAGGCTGGAAGTTGTGGAGATGGGGGAGATGTCGGTCAAAGGTTACAAAATTTTATTTAAGAGAAATAAGTTCCAGAGATCTGTTTCATATCATGCTGACTATAATTAATTATGTATTGTATACTTGAAAATAACTAAAAGTGTAGAGTTTAAGTGCTTTCACCACAAAAAGTGATAAGTATGTGAGATATTGCAAATGTTAATCAGTTCATTTTAGCCATTCCACAATGTATACCTATTTCTTTTCTTTTTTTTTTTTTTTTAAAGACAGGGTCTCCCTCTGTCACCCAGGCTGGAGCACGGTGGCACAATCGCGGCTCACTATAGCCTCGACCTCCCAGGCTCAAGTGATCCTCCTGCCTCAGCCTCCTATGTAGCTGGGACTGCAAGCATGCACCAATATGTCTGGGATAATTTTTGTTTATTATTATTATTGTCTTTTTGGTAGAGATGGGGTTTCACTGTGTTGCCCAGGCTGGTCTCGAACTCCTGGGCTTAAGTGATCCTCCCACCTTCGCCTCCCAAAGTGCTGGGATTATAGGCTGAGCCCCTGTACCTGGACAGACGTGTACATATACATATTTCAAAACATGTTGTATACCATAAATATATACAACATTTATTTGTTGATTAAAAAATAGAAAATATATCACTGCTATAATGCCTTTACTAATCTTATTTTTAAAATTATTTAACTACCTAAACCTTATCTTTTCTTTAAACTGTAAACTTTTTAAATGAATAGACATAAAACTAGGCTGTTAGTATATATTATCCTAATTAAGCTTCAGAATAATTATATTAATATAGGGATCCTTATCCTCATTTTACCTGTGTGTCAAAGTCACTTTGAATGGACAAAGCTAGAATTTAGGCAAGATTTAAGGATTCAAAGGTCTTCTCTTGTTTTCCTACCCTGCCTATTAGAATATATTTTCACTCCTTTTGCTTTTCTAATCTGGCAAGCATTCATAGGGCACATTAAGCATTCATTCATTCTTTTCTATTTAAATTGACGGATAGCATTGTATGTTTTTGTCGTTTACAACATACTGTTTTGAAGTATGTGTACATTGTGGAATGGTTAAACCTAGCTAACAAATGCATTACCTCACATAGTTATCATTTTTATAATATTCAACATTTAAACGTAGAACTTTAGAGAGATCATTTGTCTTTGATTCTATATTACTTTGTATTGAGAACATGAGCATTACTATTAATGCTATTAATTGATAATTATTGATGCTATTTTTATTCATATTAGCAGCTACTAGTTATTACATGCATAGCAACTTATGCCTTGCTCAGTACACAGTCTTCTTTACAACAAACCGATTAGGTAGATATTGTGTCTGTTTTACATTGAGGATTAGATAAATTATCAAACCTCAAGATCATGTAGCTGATAAATGGCAGCATTGGGATTCAGTTCCAAGTTTGATTTCATTATCCATATTTACACTGTTTAAGCATACTCTATGACCCTGATGTATCTTTATTTTATAAAGAAATTGTTAATGATTACTTTTAAATTCATACTTATTTACATGTATCAGGGAAATGGTCTATACTTTGATTAGGAAGTAGACTACGATTTGATTAAGAAGTATTATAGCTCCCTACCCCCTACCCAGGATATGGGAGTTTATAATACTCCTATAGTGAAAAATTTCAAGGAAATTTCTTTTGTATTCCCCAAACTGAAGGTTTCTACCACCCTTTTTGTTTCCCAGCAGTGAGAGATGGAATTCTGAATTCTGAAAAAAATAAAAATTACTTAAAGCATTTCAAACTCTGTTCAAGAACTTTGGAAAATAAATTTAAACATAATCTTTTATGAGAGTGTGAATAGATGCTCACCTATCCAAAAGCAGTTTCCTTTTAAGATCATGTGTATTAAATAAATGTGCTGAACTGTTTAACCTAATGTATAAAAAGGACTTTTTTGTCCTGCAGACTTAATCAGAGTAATGCACGTCAAAATAGAATCTGTTCATTTGCTCTTAATTAATTCTTCTAACCTGATGTTCAGACAAGCCTGATAATCTATTATATTATTAACTAATCTGACAAACATTTAATAAGGGCCTTTTATAAGGGTCAAAATAGTGGATAAGTTTATGAGTTCTATAAATAGGCAGTGTGGATTCAAATCCTGGTTGTAAAACTCACTACCTTAAGCTTCAGTTTCCTTATCTGTAGAATAATGACAACCAGTGATGCCCAGCAGAACATCTCTTCCTTCTTAGTCAGATGTCCCTTGGGAGTAGTTGTGCAAGGTTAATTCTTTGCCTGGTAGAAGACTGTGGTGCATTTTGGATTATATTTTGTCTGTGAGATCTTAGGTTGGTTCTTCAGATGTTAGCCTTCTACTGGGGCAATATTTCTTTTTCTGTGTTTATTTGTTGTTATTGACTTCTAATATAATTGCATTGTTGTCAAAAGATGTGGTCTGCGTGATTGTAGTTCTTTGATATTTGTTGAGACTTTCATTATGGTCTAGTTTTAGTTAAATTTTATAAATATTCTTCATATGCTTGAGGATAATATGTATTCTGTAATTTAAATATATATTAAATTAGCCTTGATAACCATCCTGGTCTTCTGTAGCTTTATTAAGTAATTTTTTTGGTCTGCCTGAACTACCAATACATAAAAGAAATGTATTAATCTCCCACTACAATGGATTTGTCAATTGCTCTGTGTTATTCCAGTAACTTTTGCTTCAGTATTTTGCGGCTATTTTACTAGTACTTACAAGTTTTTCGGAAGTATCATGTATTTCTGGAAATTGAACCTTTTATCATTATAATGTGACCCTTCTTGAACCAAGTAATATATTTTTTAAAGCTATTTTGAAGGCTGGGTGTAGTGGCTTATGTCTGTAATCCTAGCACTTTTGGATGCCGAGATGGGAGGGTTGCTTGAGGCCAGAAGTTGGAGAACAGTCTGGGCAACACAGCAAGCTCCTCTCTACCAAAAAAACCAAAACAAAACAAAACGATTTTGTCTTTTATTAATAGAGCAGCTCACAATTTATGTGATTCGAATGGAAATGATATAAACTTTTCCATTCCTTTAATTGGAACCTTCCTCTATACTTATAACTTAGATGTCCTATAAATAGCGTATTTTTCCATTTTTAAATTATTCAGTTCTATTATCTATGAACTTTAAAGTTTATTAGTACTTTTATTATTTGCAAATAGTGGTATATTTGGACTTGCTTTTACTACCTTTAAATGTTCATCTTTTTTATATGATGCTTAAAAATACCTTATGTTTTAGTTTTTTATAGAATCAAAGAATTGTTTCTGTCTCTTTTATGCCTTATGGTTCTGTAACTTTAATTTTTTACGTTTATATTTGTATGATATAGATTCAATATGTTGTGTTCTTCTAGTTTAAAAAACTTGGAATTTGGATTTGAACTAAATTTGGCAAAAACTGACACCTTTATAATATTAAGCCTTCTAACTCATGAAAATTTTAAATTGTTTATGTGGTTCTCTCAGTACTGTTTTATGATTTTCTTTGTAAGGGTCCTGTACATTGTTCTCTGATTTATTCCTAGATACTTAATTGTATGTTCTTATTTTATGTTTGCTGTTATATGTAGAAATATAACATTGTATGCAGCAATCTTGCTGAACTCCTTTATTAATGGTAATAAATTAGTAAATGTTTCTTTAAATTCTTTTGAATTTCTTACATGCGGAATGCTACTGTTCACAAATGTCAATTTTATTTCTTTCATAAAAACTATCTTGGCTAGCATTTCTAGGACACTGTTCAACACAAGTTGTGGTGGCAGGCATCTTTGTGGTGTTTCATGTTCTAAAAGAAAAACTTCCATCATTTAGATATGATTTTTTTTAATAATTCCCTTTATCAAATAAGGAAATTCTGTTCCTACTTTGAGAAGAGGTTTTTCTTTGTTTTCTTTTTTATCTATTTATTCGTCAGTGGACGCTTGGGCTACTTCTTCCTTTTGACTATTGTGAATAATGCTGTTATGAACATGAGTGTACAAATAATCTTTTGAGTCCTTGCTTTCCATTTATTTAAAGGTATTTACCCACAAGTGAAATTGGTGGATTGTATGGTAATTCTATTATTAATTTTTTGAGGAACTGCCATGCTGTTTCCCATAGTGGCTACACCATTTTATATTTCCACCAGCAGTGCACAAGGGTTCCAGTTTCTTCACTTTCTTGCCAGCACATTTTCTGTGTGTGTGTGTGTGTGTGTGTGTGTGTGGTAGCAGTCCTAATGGTATGAAGTAGTAGCTGTGTTTCCTTTTAATTGAAAAGAGATACTGAATTTTATCAAATACTTTTAATTCATCTATTATATGATTTGTCTTCCATATTTTTTAATGTGGCAAATTACATTTTAAAAATGTTAGGCCAACCTTAAATCCTGGTATAAACTCAACTTTTTCATAAAGTTTTATCCTTAATATATCTTCTTGTATTTGATTTGGTAATATTTTGTTTACAGTGTTACAACTGTCTATTAATATGTGTGATTTGGCCTTTTTTTCTGAAATGTTCTTATATCAGGGTTCTGATGAACTCTTCTCCTTATTTTTGGAAAAGTATATGTAAGATTGTTGATTGATTGATTGATTGTTTGAGAAAGGGTCTCATTCTGTCATCTAGGCTGGAGTGTAGTGGCCCAATCACGGCTCACTGCAGTCTGGACCTCCCTGGGCTCAGGTGATCCTCCCACTGCAGCCTCCCAAGTAGGTGGGACTCACAGGCGTGCATCACTGTGCCCGGCCCAGATTGTAATTTATTTCTCAACTATCTGATATAATTCCCACCAGCAAGAAAGTTGTCTGCAATCTAGTTTTATTTGTGGAACAGTTTGTATTACAGATTGAATTTCTTCAGTAATTATAGCACTAGTCAAATATTATAGTGGTAGCAGGAACTATAATTAATGTCCCCTCTTTCATTCTTAACATTGGTAATTAGTGCACTTTCTTTTCCACCCCCATCAGTCTCACCAGAAAGTAATCAATTTTATTCGTGTTTTCTGATAAACTACTTTGACTATGTTGATTCTCTATATTATATTAATTTTCTATTTCATTGATTTCTGCATTTGCCTTTTATTCCCTTCTATTTTAAAACCCTTTTAGAGATGGATGCTCATAATTAATTTTCATTCTTGCTTTTTAATATTTTTGTTTTTGGGACTGTACATTTCTGTCTTAAGTACTGCTTTTAGCTTGTTCCCACAAGTTTTGCATGTTCTAGTTTATTATGATTAGGTTAAAATGTTTTCCTACTTTCTACAGTATTAGGATTATTTGTCCTTTGGGTTATTTCAAAATACACTTCTTAATTTCCAAACATGGAAGGATTTCCTAGTATTTCTGTTATTGTTACCTAATATGTACTGTGATCAGAGAGCATAGTATATATGATCCCAATTGTTTGCAATTTATGACTCAATATATGGTAAATTTTTAAATATATTCTATCTGTGCTTAAGTATGTTGTGCATTGTAACGCAGAGTTCAGTGCTTTGTATACAGTATGTCCATTAGTTCAAGTTTGTTAATAATACAGATAAAGCTGTATCCTTACTGTGTTTTCTTGGTTTGTTTCTTCAATTATTAAGAGAGATAGGTTTTAAAAATTAAACTATGACAATTATTAATTATGGACTTGTCATTTTTTTTTAGTTGTGTCAATTTTGCATTCTATGTTTTGGGGCTCTTGTTAGGTCAAAGGTGAAATGATATCTTCCTGGTCAATTGAATGTTTTTTAAAATGAGTTAAATATAGTATTATTATAAAATTTGCTTTATCTTTAATAGAGGTTTTTATGTTAAAGTGTGTTATCTGATATTAATATAGCTATATCAGCCAATTTGGTTAATATCTACATTTTAAAATTTCAACCTTCTGGATAAAAAGCATATACTTGAATTTTTAAAATGTAATTGGAGGATCTTTTTAAAAAAATTGTTTAGTCTGTTTATATTTAATATGGCTGGTGATGTATTTGGGTTTAAGTCTTATTTTGGGCCGGGTGCAGTGGCTCACGCCTGTAATCCCAGCACTTTGGGAGGCTGAGGCAGGTGGATCACCTGAGGTCAGGAGTTCGAGACCAGCCTGGCTAACATGGTTGAAACCCCATCTCTACTAAAAATACAAAAATTAGCCGGGTATGCTGTTGGGCACCTATAATCCCAGTTACTTGGGAGGCTGAGACAAGAGAACCGCTTGAACCCCGGAAGCAGAGGTTGCAGGGAGCCAAGATTGCACCATTGCACTCAAGCCTGGACAACAAGAGTGAACCTCCATTAAAAAAAAAAGACTTATTTTGTATTTTTATCTCTCTGCTTTTTAATACTTTTTTTCTCTTTTTTATCTTGTTTGAATTAACTGAGGAATTTTTTCATCTTTATTCTTTTTTATTAATTTATTATTTACACTCACCCTTGACCTATCACTGTCTAATACTTGGT